>NC_000011.10:38544848-38696363 GCF_000001405.40 Homo sapiens
TTTAGTGGTGTGTTGTAGTAGCTCTGTGTAGAATTTTATGTAACCACGAGATTGTGAATATTAATTATGGGAAAATGCATATGGTCTAATGTTTGTGGTGTAAAATGATTTTTTCCTCATTTAAATTCTCAAATCATGTTTGTCATAGAATGGTGGATTTGCTCCCTTTCTTGTGATTATTAACTGCTGGCTGTGAAGTCATTGATAAAATTTAAAAATTCCTTAATCAGTGTAAAGGACATTGAACATTGTCCTAGAGTTCAAAACATACCTAAAATTATTTTTTTATTAATATGTTATTCTTTAAATAAAATAACAAACAAACAAAAAACAAACAACCCTGTTAACAAATGGGCAAAGAACATGAACAGACACTTCTCAAAAGAAGATATATATGTGTCCAACAAAGATATGAAAAAAATACTCCACATCACTAATCAACAGAGAAATGCAAATCAAAACCACAATGAGATACCATCTCACACCGGTCACAATGGCTATTGTTAAAAAGTAAAAAATAACAGATGTTGGCAAAGTTGCAGAGTTAAAGGAACACTTACATACAACTGGTGGGAATGTAAATTAATTCACCCTCTGTGGAAAACAGTGTGGAGGTTTCTCAAAGAACTTAAAACAGAACTATCATTCCACCCAGCAATCCAACTACTGGATATATACCCAAAGGAAAATAAATTATTCTACTAAAAAGTAACATGCACTCCTATGTTAATCGCAGCACTATTCCCAATGGCAAAGACATAAAAATCAACCTAGATATTCATCAGTGGTGGACTGGATAAAGAAAACGTGGTATATATACACTATATAATACCATACAGCCATAAAAAAGAAAAAAATCATATTCTTTGCATCAACATGGATGCAGCTGGAGGCCATTATTCTAAGCTAATTAATGTGGAAACATAAAGCCAAACACCACATGTTCTCGTTTGTAAGTGGAAGCTAAACATTGAGTACTCATGAACACAAAGCTGGGAACACTGGATCCTGAGGATCACTTGAGGTAGGCGGTTGTTAACTGTGAATTAAAAGAACTACCTATTGGGTACTATGCTTACTACCTGAGTGATGGGGTCATTTGTACACCAAACCTCAGAGACACAGAATTTATCTATGTAACAAAACTGCACATGTACTCTCTGAAGCTGAAATAAAAGTTGGAAAAAATGAATAAAGTATGTAACTCTGCAGATTTCAAAACACAGTAAAAATGCTATCCATAGGCTAATTTTGTTAGATAGGGAATTATCCACTCTTAAACTGCCTCGAGTTAAATATTTAGCCATGAAAGCACAAAGCTAAAAAGAACATTAATTTGGGACAACTTGTCTCCATCATTTCTATTAACTGACTAATGAACACCTGATAAAATTTCCCAGTAAGAATATTGTGCTTTATCCACGTATTTATGGTGTTTACGTACAAATACATAGCCACTCATACTTTTTGGGCTCAGGAAAACTCAATATGTAGTGTTTGTACCACTGAACAATTCCACAAAAACCATTAATACCTTTCTACTAGTCTGTGAAGTATATTTCTATACAAATAACACTGATGTTTGCAAAACTATGAAGTTAAATCCAATCTTATTTATACAAAATAAACCATATCACACTAACTATATAAAATAAAATATCTTGGGAAATGCTTTTTAATGTATTTACTCCAAGCCTTTAAAGTAAAGATGTAATTTCAAAATTAGAGAGACAGCTGTGGTAGTAGTTATAAAATCTGACTCATAGTCACACTTCAATTAAAATCAGAGAATCAAAAAACTCCATTTAAGCTGAAATCATCCATCATTTTAAACACACTAAGGAAAATGATTTACCAAACTGGATACCATGTTTGCCTTTTGACTACTATTAAAAAGGGGCATGAGATTTCATGATATTGCACCGAGCAAGAGTTTGTCCCAAATTCTTAAGTTATGTCTTCCCACAATTTTATAAATTTCATGGTCCTCTTTTCACCTGCTTTGACTTTTACAAGATGGCAAAAATTATATCTTACTGATAATCACTGAAATTCTGAAGAGATCCTTATTAGTTTGATTTACTTCAAAATAAAATGTAAGAGAAATTAACTCAAAATGCCAAAACACAAATCATAAATTTGTATATAGTCCAGTGAAGTCAGAATAACTTTATTTTTGAATTCTATCTAGTTGCTGGCATTTTATATCTTACCCCCAAAATACTGTCTGAAATCAGATTTAAATGACTTAACTAACCCTCAGCTAGATAATAACCCCATAGTCTTCTATTGATTGAAACTAAATGTCAAGGCAATAAAAACATATCAACTCTATTTTACTCCACTGAAATGTTAAAAATTCCATAAACCTAAAATTCACAAACAATAGTTGTCCTTATTTAAGGACATCTGATATTGCCATTTTTATGATTCTAAGTTTCCAAAATTACTTTTGGGCTCAGATGCCTATAAATGTCTCAACTTTATGGCTTTAAAAAAGAAAGACTGCCAATAAGCTACTAATATTTCAAATAACTTGTCTCTCATAAATTTTTTCAAAAAGCTGATCTTTCCATATTAATGGCAGTCAAAATTATTCATCTGAATGTCACAAGAAAATAAGTCAAATTGTCAAATACAATTGGTATCCATAATTATTTTGAAATTACATTCTATACTAATTACTACATTTTTCCATTTTTATTTATAAAAACAAAACAACTGTGAAGCAATTAGTCATTTGTGAATCATTACTTTCTGGAAACCTTTTTATGGAGTTTGAAATTTACAGTAACTCGACTTTAGTCATCCTTACATTCTTTTAAAATTCATGGCAATAAATCTCAGTGTCTATGTACTACCTCAGTGTGACAGTCCATTGTGTCAAGGTGGCATACAAAATTTTTCAAGGTGTTTATTTTAATATGTTTCCTACTAAGAAGTAGGAAGCACTTGATTATGAATCAATCTGATTTAAAGATATTTCTCTTCTTTTTTCTTTTTCTCTTTAAATATAATGTAAGAAATTCAACCATGCAGAAAACAACATGGCTAAAATCAATATCTTACGGTTGGTGTAGCTAAAAGAGTAATAAGGAAGGACTTTATCTGCACTGTACTGAATAGAATCCAAGGTAAATTATACTTAAAACATAAGCCCACAATTACCTTGGAAAGGAAATAGGCACAGCTGTTTAAAAAGTAATATTAAAGGCCGGGCGCGGTGACTCATGCCTGTAATCCCAGCACTTTGGGAGGCCAAGGTAGACGGATCATCTGAGGTCAGGAGTTCAAGGCCAGCATGATTAACGTGGTGAAACCCCGTCTCTACTAAAAATACAAAAATTAGCCAGGCGTGGTGGCTGGCGCCTGTAATCCCAGCTACTCGGGAGGCTGAGGCAGGAAAACCGCTTGAACCCGGGAGGCCGAGGTTGCAGTGAGCCGAGATCGGGCCATTGCACTCCAGCCTGGACACCAAGAGCGAGACTCTGTCCTTCTCCTCGCCAAAAAACAAGTAATATTAAAAATATTACACAATTGTGTTTCTTGATACTTACATAGTCCTCACACATTTATCTTTAAATTAAAATTCTTAGAATAATATTTTCCTAATAAAGAGACCTGTCTCAGCATCCCAGCTATCATAGTGTGAAAGATTTCTCATTTTGGTAATTCTCATAATTAATTTGAGTCAGGTGAGAAGGAAAAGATTGCTAGCTTCTGCTAAAAATAACTCAGGCTCATGTTTCAAAAATATTCTCTTTTAAAATAAACAGGCACAAAGGTGATATAAACCTCCTATACAGGAAGTACAATGAAAATGTCACTCAATAAAAACCATACACCTCACCACCATCACTCTACCAGAGTTGTCTTAAAAATAAAGTAAAAGACAGACAGTAAGGAAACAACTTGTCAACGTGTCGGTCCCATATGGAAAAATAAACAGATACTGATTAAAGTGAACGGAGAGTGGAGCCACATAGAGGAGAATCATGTGAGCAGGTGGGGAAGGGAAGAAAAATCTATATTCTGGACTTAATCATCCTTTTACAGTTGTTGCTGATTTTAAGAAATAAATCCATTAAAATTCAAACTGAAACATATTTGTTGAATTGAAGATTAGTTCCTTACTCTAAATCAAAATACAAGATTTAGCAAATATGTTAATTTGCAAACTTCAGAAAAAGGCTTCAAAATATATTCTGCTATAAATTTAATTTATTGTCTTTACTAGAAATATTTCAATTATATGTAATTAGCTCTGAAAATCTGATCAAGAGAGTTATCTTTTTCCACACACTAGACATATTAACAGCATTTTTCTCTAATTGAATCCTATGGTTCTCCCCAGGACTGGTACAATAACTTTTAGTTATTTGCATTCCCCATGTTACAGTACAATTAACACAGTCACCACTCAGCAAGTAATATTTAAAATTCTTAATAAAGACCATCAAGTAGCTGTTTTTTCAGAATATCTCTTTCAGCAATTATTTAAGATAATCATGTCTCATCCATTTTCCTACAGTCATATTTTAAAATTTTACCCTCTTCTTTATGATTTCTTTCCTGCAGTTGCCCCTCTGCTCATCAGAATAAAGGAATTACTCCTCAGGCCCCACTTCCTACTAAGACAATAAATACATACCCAGTTGCAATTTTTTTTTTCCTTTTCATCTCATGTTAGTGATGTTTGCCATTTAACTTACAAAGCTAAGCTCATTAATATTAATATAAAGAACCTAAAATAGAGTTGTGAATGCCATTCGCATATATCTATTTTTCCCAAATATTCCTTCAACTGTACTTTTGCTGACATCATTCTATAGGGTAGTGAGAAGAAAAAATACTAAGGTAGGAATCAAAAGACCTAACTTTGGTTCTAATTCAACTACTTTAAGTATATCTTTGGGAAAATCTCTTGATATATCTGGATCACAGTTTGTTCATTATTAACATAAAAGAATAGGCCTAGGTAAACTTAGGCCAGTTGTATGATATATGGTTCTATGCTTTTCTGGAAGGATTGTCTGTTTACCACAAGTATTCTGTGCGGTAGAATGAAAAAGAAACAGTTAAAACTCAGCTGATTGGCATCCAACCTCATTATTTACTAGCTATGTGTTATTTGGTACATCATTAAACATTTTGAATCTTGTACCTTATTTGGAAAATAAAAATAGTTGTAAATAGTTGTATGTCTCTTATGTGATTTTTTGTGATGGACTATATCTGAAGGCTAAATTAATATTATTTTCCTTCTCCCATTATTCAAGACTCAAGTTAACTCTCATGCTCTCTTGAAGCTTTCAATGATTTCTTTATTTAAAGGCACATAGTGTAATAGGCACTTGGTTTTCGAAACATACAAATCATTATCTGGAAGTAATCTTTTTAAATCCTGAATGTCTTTAGGTGTTTAGCTATATATTCCTCATGTTTATTTTTATGTTCTTCCTCGTGTTACAATAATTTAACTAGCTGTATATTTCCTTTTTCAAAACTCGAGACTAGTAACCTCATAGGATTCATCTTTGCGTGCAATATAATGTTTAAATGACTGTCTTGCATATGATTGAAACTCCATAATTATTTGAAGAATCGATGACTGAATTCACCCCACAGTAATATCCAGCAGCAAATTTCCATGTATTTGAGGCATTATTTTCCTTATGTTTTTTCTTAACCCTCCACAGGAAACTCATCTCTACAATGCTGTAAAACATTGTAAGTCAATCAATAAGTAAATTTAAAAACTAAACTTTGTCTTTCTGTTTTTACAAAGATATTTTCAAAAGCTGGTTTACACAAACAGTTTTCATGAGCTCAGTATAGAGTATGTCTTGATAAGATCTGAGAAATGAAATGTGTAATTCAAAATACATTCTCATATCCTACATACTGGAATGTCTAGTAGAGTAAGATAACAAGAGTTCACCACGGTAAACTAATATTGTATGATTTAATCTTTGCTTTCCCCAAGGAAATAAATACACTGGTAAATTATATTTTTGTGCAATTTTATTAACTTCTTTGGCTCACTTTTCTCATGCGTAAAACTAGGAAAATAACTATTAATCTTTTAGTATTGTTGTAAGAATGAAATAAGATAATTTATGAAAAATGTTTATCAGGGTGTTAAACATAGAGTAAAAGCTCTACAGAAGTTAAATATATAAAAGCCACTGGGGAGTACAAAAAGGGGGATGTGGAAGGGAATAGAATGAGTGTTGAAAAAATTACCTATGGGTATAATGTTCACTATTTGGGTGACAGATATACTAGAAGCCAAACCCTCACCACTACACAATCCTGCACAATATATCCATGTAAAAATCCTCCATGAGTACTCCCTGAATCTATAAAAATAAGCATTAAAGTTAAAAAAAAAGTTCAGAAATAAAATGTTTTATTTATTTTCTTTTCTTTCTTTATTTTTTTCTTTCTTTTTTTTTTTTTTTTTTTTTTTTTTTTCTTTGAGACAGAGTCTCACTCAGTAGCCCAGGCAGGAGTACAGTGGCAAGATCTCTGCTCACTACAACTTCTGCCTCCCGGATTCAAGTGCTCCTCCCACCTCAGATTCTGGAGTAACTGGGATTACAGGCATGCACCACCAAGCCACGCTAATTTTTGTATTTTTAGTAGAGACGGGGTTTTCCCCATGTTGGCCAGGCTGGTTTTGAACTCCTGACCTCTAGTGATCCACCGCCTCAGCCTCCCAAAGTGCTGGGATTACAGGCATGAGCCACCACATCCAGCCTTCAATTCCTTATCTCAAAAGATAGCATTTAATTCCAAAATTGTTGCTTTGTACCCATTCTGTACCATGATTGAGGATATTGAGATTTTTTTTAAATGGCAAACAACTTACTATCCCTTAGAAAGAACTAAGTTATCACAGATATCCATGAATTATTGTGGAAATTCACAGAAGGAATGGTTAAATTCAATAGAAGATATCAAGAGGTGACTGAAAGTAAAGTGACTTGTTATTTGAATCATAGTGGAAGAAGACAAGTAGGATTTAGTTATGCTAGTCTAGGGGTTAGGGAGATCATTCCAAGAAGATGAAAGGAAATAATCAAAAGCAAAATTACTTGAAAGCACATGGAATATTTGAGGCATAACAAGTATTATAATCTTTGCTATAAAATTAAAGTATCTGCAGTAAATAGGAGAATTTTCTGAGATTGATAGACTCTATGAATTACTAATGATCACAGTGTAATAATGACTGTAGTATTAAGCTGATTTTATAATAAAAGTATTGCTATGTATGTTGTGTTTAATACTAATAAAATGGGTCATAACTTTATCTTACATAATGAAACCTGTGGACTAAGTGAGCGAAAGCAGTACAGAATATAATCCATTGCAGTGAATCAGGGATTTTAATTAGAAAGAATTCTAAGGGTTAGTGAGAATGCAAGAATCACTGTCTAAGTTCTGATCTTGAGAAGAAAAGAGTTGCTGAAGCTGCAGAAGTTCAGAAGTCTTGCATTTGGAAGATACTTGCTTTTCTATTAAAATATATGGCATGCATGGGCTGTGCTGATTCATTAATTCCAAATATTGGAATTTAGCAATGGGAAGCATTATATTCAAAACCATGATATCAAATTAATTCTGAAGAATGAATATTTTAGAAAAACACAACTTTGAAACAAAGCTGCAGGCACACTAAAATTCTTTGTTGGACTTTATATTTTTTCTTTTGATCGCTCCTAGTCGACACAAGCAAGAGTAAAAGCAAACTATAAGATTTAAAATGACAGTCTAGAAATAAACTAGTTTATAGTCAGTTGTGTGGTGTGCCTTTAGCTAATATTGATATTTTAAGTTGTAGAATCTTATACATCTCTGAAGAGACATAGTGTGTTTATCATATCACAAATCCTCTTTACTGAGGGCTTATTATTAAGATAAACCTTTGCTTTAGGCTTTTAACTCTTCCTTGTTGTATAATTTAAGAGTAAAATAGTTTTATTTTCAAAATTTTTTTCAGTTTTTTTTCTTTTCTAAATGATATATCCCTTGAACTCTAACTGTAGAAGTTACCATATGCTACAACAGTAAAATCAACTATTGAGAAATCGCACAGTCAATACACAGGATCAGTAAGCATGGATGCAGACTTCCTCCAAAGTTCCTGTTCACAATATCAATATGCCTTCCATTTCAAACATTTCACTATTCAGTAACTATAATAGAAAAAAGTTGACTGTCTACAGTCCAGTAAAGTGTGTTGTTTGGCACTTTATTTTGTTTTTGGGGTTGAGGAGAAGTAGTGGTTTTAATATTACAGCTGGTAATCTGATCATATTACATACTGTCATTATTCATCCACTAATGCTCAAAGGATCAGGAATGCGTATGTTTTTCCTCAATAAAACACCAGAAGATAATCTTGTTGTGAATGTAGGTTATTTGAAATTAATCCAACAAGGAAATCCACAGCTGTTCTAAGTTTCAGCACTAGAACAGTTCAAGAGGTCTTTAAAGGAGCCATCCCAGAATCCGATCAAAGACACAGATGCTGCCTCTGGAAACACATTGGAGAGATCTCCATCTGGGGCCCTCAGTGTGCCAAGTTCTTCTCATAAGTGGTCACAGCAGTTAGGTTCTTTGCTCCAGATGAGAGAGAAAGGCACCAAAGGGAACTATTCCCCACCCAGCAATCAACAAGAAATGCTGTGCCAAGTGAAATTGTAATTATATATACAGTGATGTGTTAATGAGCTTTGAAAACGTTTGGTTGGAGAAGATAAAAGTGTCTGGATCTGACTAAAACAACTATGTATCTGAAAATGCAATACACATTATTAAATACAACTCTGCGTGCCAGAGTATGTTTGTCTGTATGTGCACATTTGAGGTGCAACTGTCTGAATACTACATGGATGTCACTGTGCTTCCTTAGACATTTAGTTTATGAAAATGTCTCAATCTAAATTAAGAAACAGCTTCAGAATATTACCGTCTTATTATAATGATCTGAGAAAAACAATGTGGCTTCCAGCAATTTTTAGATTAGAAAATCAAGTCCAAGCACAAGTACCTTCAAAAAGTAAATTTTGTTGGAAATGTTTTTCTTTTAGTATGGATCTAGTTACAAACCTTAGTGGTAATGACATTCTGGGCTTTTTTGCTCACAGACCTTCCAGTTCTCATAGCTAGAATCCCTCAGCTTCTTTCTGTAAATGAAACTGGTTCAAGCTCTGAAATAAATAAATATGTAAATATATATTATATGCATATATACATACATGCAGAGAGAGAGAGAGAGAAGTACTTCAAAGAAACTATGAATTTATAACAGTATAAATCAAACCACTTCAGATTCTCTGCTGATCTCTTTATGCTCCTGCATATTCAATTGAGAAACTAGATTTATTGTTTATTTTTAGTGAGTCGGTATTTTTATCAACTTCATGCCTTACCCTATTAAAACACCAACTGCGCTGCCATGTTTCCTTGTCTCGTTTTCCAGTTGCTACAGAGTTAGATTACTAACAAAGTTCCTAATTGCAAAGTTCCAGCATAAGATGAGTGTTTCTCAATGCATGGCCCGTGGCTGAAGTTCTACATGCATCAGAATGATCTTAGGTGTTGGCTAACAATGAAGACACTGCATTCTCTTTTTTATAAATAATTTGTTAATGATCTATTAAATGGCCAAGTGTTCAAGTGACTTAACTTTTAAAAATTAGAATAAATAAATTTACCTCAATATGGTCTCTGACTCAAATGCTTTTTAAAGTAGGGAAAACATGGTAGAATTAGTATATGTTATGATCTTTAATTATAGAACAGCTAAGACATAGCTATAATTTCTGTTTTATTTTGAGAAGATACAGAGTTATGCAAATCTAGAATGTCACATCCTTCACTTGAAGCTGGGATTCTTTAGCTATGCATGTACCCTCTCCAGCTGGATCCAGAGTCTCCTGTCTTACTACTTAAAATGTGGTCCATGGACTGGAAGTATCAGAATTAGCATTACGTAGAAGCTTGTTAAAAATTTAGAAACTGAGTCCTACTCTTCAAGACCATCTAAGTCAGAATCTGCAATGCAAAAGAACAATTCAAGAAACTAATATACAGTTTCAACAAGTCCATTGGGTTTCTATATTATCCCTGAACATTCATCAACATTTATGTAAATTTGACTAGACTCTACGGCACGATACACCTGGGTGTATCCTAATCCGAGGCAAAAGGCAATTGTCATTAAACAGGCTTGTGGCCAATTTTGGGGATAGGGATGACAGGAAATATTTAGCAATGTGAGTGGTAACAGTTCCTAGACCAGTGGTTCTCAGAACAGGCTTCACATTAAAACCACCTAGACAAATTACTAGTGCCAGAGTCCTACTGAAAATCAATTAAATCGGGATTTCTAGAGGTGAACCCAAGAATATATATATATACATATATATATATATATATATATATGTATATATATATATATATATATATATATATATGTATATATATATATTCAAAACCCAATTTTGAAAACTTTCCAAGGAGATTCAAATTTTCAGCCAAGTTGAAATCCACCACATTATAGAACATTTAACAGGTGTTTTAATAGAATTAAATTGGTCTGGAACAATAATTTTCAAATCTTCCTAGAAGATTGTTAAATACATAAAGATCCAGGACCTTCCAAAAATTCCAAAATATAGGTGGCACCCATATTTTTAACAAGCATGAAATTTTTAAGAATCCTTCTTCATGACTAATCTTCTTTGCTCAATTAAGGTAGAGTGAATTTTTCTGGATGGAAAAACTCACTTTACTATGGGGATATAAACAAGTTTGAATTTAATTGCAAGCAGATGGAGTGATCTGAGTAGGATTTAATTAAATCATATTGGCCAATAATGAATGATTTTTTAAGTTTTATTTATTCTTTGTACTCTGCATACCCTTTTTGCCTTATTTTATTATAGAGTATTTTCAGTGTAATGAATAGAAATAATGAAAGGACATTCTTGTCTATTTGCCATTTTAGGAAGAAAGCATCCAATCTCTCACAATGAAGTTTGATATTGCTGTAGTCTTTCATATATCATTCTTTAACGAGCTGAGAAAATTCTCTGTTCCTAGTTTGCTGAGAGTTTTTAATCATGGATGAGTGTTACATTTCATCAAATGCTTTACCTGCATCAACTATATAACCATATGATTTTTCTTTTTTACTGTTCTGATGTAGTAGATTTTATTGCTTTATTTTCAAATAGTGAATCAGCCAGGAATTAATACCACCTGTTTGCAGTATATAATTCCTTTGATTTGAACTAGATTTGCTAATATTTTTTATAGAGATTTCGCATCTATGTGAGATCTATGGTTTTCCTTTCTTGTAATGTCATTATATGGTTTTGGAGTAAGGCAATATTCACCTCATGGAAAGTATGGAATGTTCTTTTGGCTTCTAGTTTCTTGGAGAAATTATGAATAATTTGTATTACTGATTCTCGAATGCTTGTTAGAATTCACCAGCAAACTCATCTGTTCCTCTATACTTGTTTCTTTTTTTGAAAATTATTAGTAATTCACTCAATTTATTTCATAGCTGTAGTACTATCTGGGTTATTTTTTCTCCTTGTATGAGTTTTGGTAGTTTGTATCTTTCAAGGAATTGGTCTATTTTATGTAAGTTATCAAACTTGTAGGCAGAGAATTGTTCCTAGTATTCTTTCATTATTCTTTTAATATCAATGAACTCAATGGTGATGTCTCTTCTTTCATTTCTTATATTGGTGATTATGTCCCCTATTTTTTCCCTTAGTTAGCCAGGTGAGAGTTTTAAGACTTTCATGCATCTTTTCTGAAAACATTATTTATAGGGAACATCTACTGGCAATGAATTTAATTAGTTTTTGTTTTAGAAAATCTTTATTTCTGCTTCACTTTTGAATGATAATTTTGCTGGATATAGAAACAATGATAGAGTTAATGTATGTGAATAGAGTGAATCTGAGTTATACGTAATTTTTATGGAATATTAAGTTAAATTGATTTTATTATTTCAATAGATATACATTTCTGGATTATGGTTCTTTGTATGAAATTTTGTTTAAATGAATTTTAAAAGTGTAAGTTTCTAGTATGAATTAAAACTCACTAAGTCTTGTCTTTTTGGCTTTTATGTTAAAGTGTTTAGATTAAGTTGGATTGCACTGACACATCTTATCTCACTACAAAATGATTTTATAAGGATTTTTAATAATATTAATAGTTGCCCTATTTTAAATTATGTTCTATATAATTTCTCTATATAAAATGGCTTGAATTAATTCATGTGTTTCTTATGAGTTTATTTGACTTAATATTAGGAAAATATTATTTATGGCATTGTAAATTTTTCTCTTGATTAAATTTTAATTAAAGCTATCCTTTCTCATTCTGCTCACATTAAATTGGCTGATTCTAGTTTGGTTTATACTTATCTAGTACTCTGGTTTGAGTAGAATACGGGAAGGGAGAACGGGAAGAAATTTTGGGACTAGAACAGAATGGTAAAAAGCAGTCTGAGTCTGGTATTTTCCCAAATTAATTTATTTGAACTGACAGCCATGATCAGGTTTTTAGAATTCTTTAGTCAAAATTATGCGTTTGTCTTTCCTTCCTTTGCATTCCACAGTAAAAAAGAAATGATATTCAAATTCTATCCAACAGTCGAATCTGACCTCAACCTACCTATGTCTGTCATTATTTTCTACGATCAACTCTGTCCCCTACTTAGACCACTTTCCTCACAGTCTTTCAGAATATTGTGTACTTGGTTCCATCCATTTGCTCCTAGTGTTCTGTTTGAATGGCCACCCTCCTTCTCAATTCCCACTATCAAGTCTCAAAACTTCTTAACCTTACAGTTACTATATTTATTATTTCATTACAATTTTACAGCATGCTCAGCATGTACACACACACACACACACACAGCCCATAGAAATTTTCAAAGTATGGATTCTTATTCCTATTGTAATTTCTAGGAATATTTATTACATGAATTGATTACTCATAATTACCTTGTATTATTTTAAGTGTTGCGTATGCAATAATGTATCTGAATCATCAAAATGATTCTAGTTTCAATTATTATCCCAAGTTTCAAGACAAATAAATAAGATACAAAGATATTTAAAAATTTAGTCAGATAGCTATAATTTATCAAATAGTCCAAGCAGCCTAAAGTCTACATTTTTTAATCATAAGGTTGTATTAAATAAATAGAAATGTAGGATAAAAAGATTAAGTGAAATATTTGGTCTTTCATTTTTTAAGGATATAATTAATTAGTATTTTCACAACAGCTTTCAATGTATGAAGCAACCATAATAAAGTGCTCAACTCCTGGAACTCTAGTATTAACCAGCTATCTTTAAATGTTGGCATGATCATCCACTGTCTATGTGACATGGGGCAACTTATTTAAAAGGTTTGGACCTCAGTTGACTTATTAATAATCAGGGCAGTAATAGTAACCATGTCATACAATTGCTATGATGATGGATAAATAAGATAATGTATAAAATACCTTGAACTTTGGTTGGCTTTAATATGTACTAAGTAAATATTAGCTGATACTACTAGAGCAAGTAAATTCATATCCATCCTTACATGAGCTTTATAATAACCCTGATAGAAATTATTACCATATCAATTTTAAAGATCAGAATACTGAAGCTCACATAGATTAAGTGTTTCCTAATATTAAACAGGTAGTGAATTTTTAAAAAGAACCTAAATTAACCCTAATTACTTTCATTATATTGACTAATATTGTTATAGTTGTCAAGATGAGGTTTCAGGACCAGCAGTGTTAGCAACATTTCAGAATTTTTTTACAAATGCAAATTATAGAGTCCTACCAAAACTTACTGAATCAGAAACTCTGAGGCAGTGACCCACAATCTATGTTTTAACAAGATCTCATTAGGATAAAGATGCATTCTCAAGCATAAAATCCCCTGAGGTATATTACATTTGTTTTTTGGCTTGAAAGTTCTAGAAAAAGCAGTGTCTATTCAGATTGTCCTATTATTTTAGATTCAAACGAAATAATCTCACATTCCTACTCCATATGTGGATTTCAGCATCTTTCTGTTTCTAGCTCTCGCTCTCTTGCTTTCTCTCTTCCTCTTTGTGTGTGTGTGTGTGTGTGTGTGTGTGTGTGTGTGTGTGTGTTTTGAACAGGGGCTTGTTGAATTTCTCCTAAAGAACTCTGACTTTATTATTTTAACTTTGGCTTTATTACTCAGACTCCCTTAAATACTTCACTTTTCCCCATGACAGCTTAAAATCCCTGAGAAATGTCAATGTCTGCTTTTTAATATACTTTATATTCAATCAGTTACAAGTAGGTTATTTTCCAGCTATATCTTTTCATGCTGGTTGTCCGGTCTTATTAGGGGAAGTAGCTGAAATTTTCTACACATGTTATTTACTTTAACAGTAAAATAAATTCATAATATTTTGCAGAAGCATTATATGCCCTATCTGACCTTTTATTTGGCTAAATACCTCTGAGCTCAAGTCAAATGGAAAGCTAGATTTGTTGCATTTTTAAAACAGACAGTACCTTTAGAGATGAGGACCACTAAATTAACCCTGACAAATCAAACTGGATAAATCTACTTCAACTTTGTGCTAGCGCATTGATTAAAATTCAATATAGAATATTTTGACTATTTATATTCCCATAATCTAATATGAATGTGTACTTTCACATTTTTAAAGAGAATACTAAAATCATCAGTGATTCATTTAATTAATACCTATAAATAGTGAGTTCCAGACGTATCTATTGGCAGAGGTGATGAATTGTAATGAGTGAGAGGAGTCAGTTCAATCTATTGAACTAATAAAGTATTGCTATGGTAAGCAATAAATTGTGGAGTCTGTAGAGCAATTAAACTCATTCTTCTTAGTATTTGTCATAGTCATTCATGAACATATATAAGAATGTGGAAATATCAAACATAAAGATATTAATGTGGAAGTAGAAATGTAAAAAATATTTATGCAGGACATAAGTGTAAACAATATGATGCCACTCTCTGATTTTAATATTTAATGACAAAAAGCTTTTGAAATTATATGTAATTTTATACATTTTAATTTTTGATGTCTTACTATTCTATTATTGAATTTCTAATTATTGTCTTTAGAAGAAAAGCTTAATATAAATATAAACTAAAATTGTATGTATGTATATATTATTATGTGTATTATGTGCATCTATTATATGCAGAAAATACATATTTAAATCTTCCAGAGACACTATTAAAAATTCCAGCTAATATAGGTAAGTTTATAAAAAAAAATTCTACCAGGCTTGGTGTAGTGACTCACGCCTGTAATCCCAGCACTTTGGGAGGGCGAGGCAGGAGGACTGCTTGAGCCCAGGTGTTCAAGACCAGCCTGGGCAACATTGTGAGATGTCGTCTCTACAAAAAATCAAAATAGTAGCCAGGTATTGTGGTACACACTTGTAGTCCTAGCTACATGGAAGGCTGAGGCAGTAAGATCGCTTGAGGCCAGGAGGTCAAAGCTGACGTGAGCTATGATAGAACTACACTCTAGCCTGGGAGACAGAGTGAGACTGTGTCTAAAAAAAAAAAAAAAAAAAAAAAAACACGTAAATAACATATTTGTGTGATTCTAAGTAAATGTCTGAATTATTTATAGGTATAATAATAATTACAATATTTACAGATAATAGATTAGAGACTGTCACATACTTTACCTATATTCTATTCTATTGTATTTGTTTTTAAGGTAAAATTTACATAACATATTATTTATCATTTTTACCATTTTGAAATATGTCATTCAGTGGCACTGAGTACATTCACTGTGTTATAGAACCATCACCATTATCCATTTCCTGAACGTTTCATCACCACAAAAGGTCTTCCAGTTTCCTGTAAACACTCACTTCCCGTTGCTCTCCCTGAAAATCACTAACCTGCTTTCTGTTTCTGTGGATTTACATATTCTGAATATTTCATATAATTGAAGTCAAACAATAGGTAGGTTTTTGTGTCTGGCTTATATCACTCAGCATAATGTCTTTAAGGTTCATCCATGTTGTAGCATGTATTAATATTTCATTTTTTGTGGTTGAATAATATTCCATTTTACAGATATCCCAGATTTGTTTATCCATTCATCAGTTGACTGACATTTGAGGTATTTCCATCTTTTGTCTGTTTTGAACTGTACTGTTATCAACACTTATGTACAGATTTTATGAACATCTATTTTAAATTCTTCTAGGCATATACATCCAAGTAAGATTGCTGATTATATTACAATTCTGTTTAACTTGTTGAGGAACTGCCAAACTGTTTTCTACAGTGGTTGCACCATTTTACTTTTCAACCAGCACTGTAGAAGGGTTCCAATTTCTCTATATCCTTACAAACCCCTAATATTATTACCTGATTTTATAATCATAGCCATAATAGTGGGTATCAAGTGGTATCTCATAGTAGTTTTGATTTGTATTTTTCTAATGATTAATGATGTTAAGCATCTTTTCATGTACTTGTTTCCTCTTTACATATTTTCATTGAAGGAATGTCTGCACAAGAGTTTTCTCCAATTTTAAGTTGGGTATTTTTCTTTCTTTTGAGTTTCTTTGCAGATTCTGATACTAAACCTTCTGTTGCACCTTAATAATAACCTCAATAGGTATATTAGAACTGAAATTCGACAGTGTAAGTGATTTTCCCAAAGTCATATAGTCAGCTAGTTACTGAGCTGAGTTTCTACTCATGATTTTTTAATAGCAAAGTAAAACCAATTTAGACATGTACTATATGAGATATGTACTGTGTGAACTGTGCATTATTTTTCTCCTTGGCCTTTACTATTATTAAAGAACATGCTTTCACTATGTCTGACTTATTTGTGAGTATTCAGATCTCTCTCTCTCTCTCTCTCTGAAAATATTTGTTTAGAGGAAGGCCTCTGTTTGAATCCCTGGCTAGCTATATGGCTTCAACAACTTCCTTTGTTCAAGATCCTAGTAAGGCTTGCCTACCTCAGAAGGTTATAAATAAGTTAAATTAGATAATCCATTTAAAATGCTTAATACCATGATGCATATATTTTAATCCATTAAATCCATTTTTAAATAAGAAGACCCCTGGGTTTTTCTATAGAAGTCAACAAGTTTAATTTGTGTCTAAATATCTAGCCAAGCAGGGCATTCATATTCATTTTGAAAACAAGGGGTTTTCAAAAATGTCATGGAAAATGTATGTTTAAAAAAAGTATGAATTTCAGTTTTTTATACCAACATCAACTCGAATTAACTTGTTAAAACATACTTGAACAGAATCTAGTGTGAGTCACTAAGAAGTATAAAAAATCATTTTGAAAAATGCCCCCATCAGAGCAACAGGCATTCTGCTAAATTGAAACAAGAACAAACATCAAATTTATAGTAAAACTTGGGTAGAAGAAAGGTGAAATCTGTTTTACCTTACAAAAAATGTATGGGGACAATGCCCCAAATAAATTAGCAGCTTAATAATGTATTATTCATTTTAAGAAGGAATGAGTTGGTATTTAACATGGAGCTCACAGCAGCCGACCATTCACATGGATTTGCAAAATTAAAAAATTATTTTTAGTGCCCTAATTGAGGGGCCATAAAAAAGTTAACAGCGTAAACAATAGCCAACACCATAAACATCTTAATTGCTTCAGCTTACGTAATTCTGACTGAAAAATTAAACATGAGCAAACTTTTCATTCAATGGGTGCCAAAATCCATGTGCCCAGATCAGCTGCAGACAAGAGCTGAAACAAGTGGCTCCAAGATCCTGAAGCATTTCTTTGAGAATTGTAACAGGAAATGAAACATGGCTTAATCAGTATGATCTGAAGACTAAGAACAATCCAGCGATAGTGGACAAGAGGTGAACATGGTCCAGTCAAAGCAGAAGCAGACCATTAAGAGGAAAAGTGATGGCAACAGTTTTTTTGGGGGGGATGTTCAATTCATTTTGCTTGTTGACTTTCTGGAGCATCAAATAATGATAACATCTGCTTATTATGAGAACGTTTTGAGTAAGCCAAAACTTTTGCAGAAAGATTCCCAGGAAAGCTTCACCAGAGAGCCCTTCTCCATGAGGGTTATGCTCCTGCTCATTCCTCTAATCAAACAAGGACAATTTTACAAGAGTGTCCATTGGAACCTAGTAGGCATCCACCTTATCATCCTGATTTGGCTCCTTCTGACTATTTTTTAAATTTTCTAATCTTAAAAAAGATCTTTAAAGGGCATCTATTTGTCTTGATTTAGTAATTAAAATAGATTACATTGACTTGGTTAAATGTCCAAAACCTCAGTTCTTTAGAGGTGGACTAAGTGGCTGGTATCATCACTTACAAAATGTGTTGTGCTTGATGGAGCTAATGTTGTGAAATAAAGTTTCCATTTGTATTTGTATTTTTAAATTCCATTTTTATGTACTTTTTGATATCTTCTTTTATTTGTGTGTGTATGCCTACATATATATGTTAAATATAATGATAGACTCTGTTCCTTCTATTGTCACTAGAATGTAAACACTTTGAGGGGCAGGAATTTTTTTTTTTATTATTGTTTGGTACTCTACTATATCCTCAGCACCTAAACCCAATGCCTAGCAAATAGATATATTAAAATAATAATGGAAACTTACACTTGCATAACACTTTATAGTTTCTAGAAACACTTTCTTGCACATACATATTCTCACCTGCAATCCTCTTGATAACCCCCCTGAAATCTAACTTTGTCATTATCATTGTATATATAAAGAAACTGACCCTCAGACAAGTGAAGAGAGCTGCTCACGATTCTCTAAAATTCGTGCATTCTGACTGTCCCTGCTATCACAGGTTTACAGCCTGAAATAGATCCTGACACATAGTAGCTACCCATAGTTTACCGTGACTAAGTAAGAGAAAGTAAGGCATGTTATTAATTGCTAAGCCTTTGTTTTAAATAGTCTACACTTCTCCCTCTCAGATAACTACAGTTAGTGGGTACATGGTGATTGGTTGATCAAAATACATCACCTTTGCGGTGAGTAATTTTACACATCAGAACTGAATTAAAAGAAAACATGGATAGCTGTAGGCTATAATGCAAAATTTGCATTAATTTAAAATATAAAGGGTGAGTCTCTAAAGGAATTGTATGAATTGCTTGCTTCAATATATGATTCCAAACTGTTTCTGTGACCCGAGTAAATTCTCCTTTCCAGTTAGGATTACATTAGTAGAACATTTTAAGAAATATTGAGATATATTGGATATATTGGTGTGCTGGGAAAAAAAAATCAGTGAAGATGTATGTATGTATGTATTTATTTATTTTGAGATAGAGTTTCCTTCTTGTTGCCCAGGCTGCAGTGCAATGGTGCTACCTCAGCTCACTGCAACCTCTGTCTCCCGGGTTCAAGCAATTCTCCTGCCTCAGCTTCCTGGGTAGCTGGGATTACAGGTGTGTGCCACCATGCCCAGCTAATTTTGTATTCTTAGTAGAGACATGGTTTTACCATGTTGGTGAGGCTGGTCTCGAACTCCTGACCTCAAGTGATCCACCCACCAGGGCCTCCCAAAGTGGAAGTTATATTTTAGATTGCTGTTTTGTTTGGTAAAGCAAGTGTGCTTATGTAGAAAATCTGATAGCAAGGACATTGTCAGTGATGGCTGCTCCTTTTGTTGCCAACTTCTGTTTGTGAATTTGGAGAAGTTATTCAACGTTTATAAATCTTAGACTCTCCTCATTCATAAAAATGACAGGAGGGTTTGCTATCTGAGAAATTAATCATCCTAAGTCACTTTTGAAAATTTCACACAGGCCTAATTGCAATACCCAGCAAAACACCATTATTAATAAGCACATTTTATAAGACCACAAATAGTCTCTCATTGCCAGTGGGTATCATTTGTGCTCACTGATTAATGTATTGGATAAACCTTTTTTATTAATGAGAACAAGAGAGAGCAAACACCACATTAGGGAAGGTGTGTCACACAATGTGGCAGTATACCAACATAGGTCAAATGGGCCACATTAGAAAGGAGCTATAGATCACATATGAACCTGGAGTCCCTAAACATTTGCTTCATTCATGCCTTAGTGGGAAAAGTATCAGCCATTCAAACACTCACCAAAAAAATTAATTTTGAAACAGACACAGTATGTCCAAATCTTAACTTTGTTTCTGTTTTGGAAATGGACTAATATGAAAGGATAAATGGTTTTTAAGCATTTATGCAATTCTGTGCTGCTTTGTAAAATATTTAAATCCTTAACAAGAAGTATACATTAGAGTATCCCTGCTATTTAAAGGAAACCTATGGAAATGTACTTGTTTGTAATGTACGTTTTTCACTATCAAAGTGCTGGGTGTGGTCAATATAGAAAATTAGGAAATAAATAGTCCTAATAGAAAAACACAACCATTTCTATTATTTTTATTTTAAAAAGAAAGCACCTCCCTGCTAAAGCTGAATAGGTGTATAATGGTGAATGAAACCCTCTAAAACTTTTTTTATGTTTCACAAATATTGAAAACTAGGTCAACAGATTCTTACCAGTTTGACTCTTTTGATTGTGACTTTTGTGTCAACATTTTTGTGAGGTTTGCATAGTTTTGTCTTGATTGTATGTCACAGCTTATTTGTTAATACTTCCTGCACTGATAGGCATTTGGCTTGTTTTCTGTTAGAAATCTTTCAGGGTAATGCTGTCATACACATTCTTTTACCTGTTTATTTTAATTATTATTATACTTTAAGTTCTGAGGTACATGTACAGAATGTGCAGGTTTGTTACATAGGTATACACATGCCATGGTGGTTTGCTGCACCTATCAATCCATCATCTACATGAAGTATTTCTCCTAATGCTATCCCTCCCCTAACCCCCTCCCCTAGACAGGCCCTGGTGTGTGATGTTCCCCTCCCTGTGTCCTTGTGTTCTCATTGTCCAGCTCCCACCTATGAGTGAGAACATGTGGTGTCTGGTTTTCTCTTCTTGTGTTAGTTTGCTGAGAATGATGGTTTCCAGCTTCATCCATGTCCCTGCAAAGGACATGAACTCATCCCTTTTTATGGCTGCATAGTATTTCATGGTGTATATGTGCCACATTTTCTTTATCCAGTCTATTATTGATAAGCATTGGGGTTGGTTCCAAGTCTTTGCTATTGTGAATAGTGCTGCAATAAACTTTCATGTGCATGTGTCTCTATAGTAGAATGATTTACAATCCTTTGGTTATGTACCCAGTAATGAGATGGCTGGGTCAAATGGTATTTCTGGTTCTAGATCCCTGAGGAATTGCCACACTGTCTTCCACAATGGTTGAACTAATTGACACTACCACCAACAGTGTAAAAGCATTCCTATTTCGCCACATCCTCTCCAGCATCTGTTGTTTCCTGACTTTTTAATGATTGCCATTCTAACTGGTGTGAGATGGTATCTCATTATGGTTTTGATTTGCATTTCTCTAATGACCAGTGATGATGAGCTTTTTCTCATATGTTTGTTGGCTGCATAAATGTCTTCTTTTGAGAAGTGTCTGTTCATATCTTTTGCCCACTTTTTGATGGGGTTATTTGTTTTTTTTCTTGTAAATTTGTTTAAGTTCTTTGTAGATTCTGGATATTAGCCCTTTGTCAGATGGATAGATTGCAAAAAGTTTCTCCCATTCTGTAGTTTGCCTGTTCAGTCTGATGATAGTTTCCTTTGAGCTCTCATATTTTAAGAATTGTATAAAAGTGTAGTTTCTTAGATCATAAGTTATGCCCAAATAAAGCTTTAGTGTGTGTATTTTCCGACAATTTTCCAAGGTAATTGTATCAATATAAAATCTCATTGGCAGTTCCAGATATTTCATATCAACCACAACTTGAAATTGTCAGTCCATTTATGATAGTGATTTGTTTCAATATATAACAGAATTATAAATTACAATGTTATATCCATACCTATAACCAATTATAAAATATTACTGTCATTGTTCTAAAATAAAAGTGTTTTCACTGACCATTTTATATGGATGGTATGGATGATACAATACCTCATAGTTCAAGTCCATAGTTGCCAATACTCCATCCTGCAATTCACCATCCTTCCACGTTTGACTCATATGAGTATTTTTCTCCCATCAAATTCAGTAATATTAACATGTGCATATACATATTCAATCATTGAAATAATTACCCAGCTTTATTCACAAAACGTGTAGTAGAAAATCGAGTCATGTTATCCTTATGATCAAGTTTACAGAATAAATTTTTAGAAATATTATTTGTAAAAGTAAAGTGTACGCGGTTTCAACAGACGTAAAGAGAAACTAATTTTTTTGCCAAATCAAAATTCATAGGAATGAATATAGGTTGAAGCATGAACCTTAAATTTTTCTACCTTACAGTGAATAATTTTTTCTAATATATTTTAGAAGCCTTTATCAAAAGTTTAAGATGCCCTGGTTAGTCAAATATTTATTTGCTTAATATAATAAAGACTATTTGACCTTAAGGAAAAAAATTCACACATATTTTTACTTCATAATAATAAAAATTCACATGACATATTTATTACATAAATATACATATTCTATATTTAAATCATAAACATTAACAACTAACACTAACAACTATGAATACCTCATTAGAGGTGAAATTGGCCCTAAAATTTTTCAAGATATTAAATTATATTGTGTTCCTTAACATTATTCTTCAATTCTAAGAGCTCTCCTTGCCTCAGATTACTATTCATGTAAGGTGTGAGCAAAATAGTGCAAAGTCTCATTAGGATAAAATAAAATACGTAGAGTTTTGGAGTGGTTAAAAGAAGAGAGGAACCTACTTAGGACGCATTTTACACAATGTGTGTAAATGAATGCAAAGGAAAACTAGTATTATTTAAAAGCTTTTATTTAATTTTATATGGATACCAGAGTCTCTTTTGAGATTATGTAAAAGTACTTTTTTTAAAAAAAGGAGGTTACTTTTCATAGGTTTATCCATGCATTCCAAATTTGTTGATCTATACTGTGTTGCAGGTGGACAAAGCTGTACCTAATAAAGTATGTATCTCTTTCCACATGTAGAAGGCGTGCTTTTAATGATACGAAGAAAACATAATAATGTGCACTCAAGAATAGAAGAAATTTTGAAGTAAAACTCCTATGTCCTATATTTTATTTTTATTTCATGATATGTATTTCAGACATAGGGAAGATATAAATAAATTGTTCATAATTTCACTGGAGATCATCTATCTATCTAATCTATCTCCATCTATCAATCATCTTCTATCTGTTCTTAGCTCACTCTTTATTTTTTCTCTCTTTCCTTCTTTCTTTATTTCTTTTTCTCTTTCCTTATCTGTCAATCTATCATTTATGTGTAATGAATAGGGCCTTATCTCCAGTGTTTAGGATATTTAAGTGCACAAAAATATTTGCTGAAACCAAAAAAGATACCTAGAGACATTCCCATTCCTTACTCCTCAAGAAGAACATTTCATACAACAAAATATA
This sequence comes from Homo sapiens, assembly GCF_000001405.40. Classification (NCBI taxonomy): domain Eukaryota; kingdom Metazoa; phylum Chordata; class Mammalia; order Primates; family Hominidae; genus Homo; species Homo sapiens. The sequence continues at coordinate 38,568,431 of NC_000011.10, forward strand.
ATCAACTGAAGACCTAATCCTTTGCAAAAAATGCTGAAGTTTTAAAAATGTCCAGGAAAAAAAGTAATTTATTAATTCAGAAGAATCTTTCAGTTACCTTAACTTCATTTATTGTAGATTTTAAAAGTGAAAGACTTTTTCATCAGACGATTCATGCATATGTTTTGTGTACGTGTGGTCTGTCTGTGTTTGTATGAGTTCATGCCTGACTCGGAAATTTTCTTTTTATTAGACATTTGTATTAATATTTTAAAACCATTAAAAATCACTATAAAAAAGCTTTTTGCCTCTTGGATCGACAATATTTTAAAATAGTTATCAAGACATGTTTTAATTTAAATTTTTGCTTTTTAATGACATGTCATTGATGTCATATTTGTAGCATTTTGAGGAAGCAAGCAAATTGGTAGGCATCAGAAATTTTAAAGAAAGAGAAATATTTCACTTAATATTCACCATCTACTTTATATAGGGATGTTAAGCATTTTTTCCAATGTAACTTCAAATGTTTCAAATGCTTTCCTGGCTGTTATTTAACTGAGTCTTTCTTAGAAAACCAACTTAAACAATTGGGAAAAGCACTAATTTGTTTAAATAAATTCAATTAGTCAATTTCATGCAATCCCTTTATATATATAAAAAAGTCTATGAATTAATCAAATCTAGGGTGCCATATAAAGCATGACATTATTTTATTGATATCTTAAGAAGAAAGCCTGCAAATAAAACAATGTTAAGAAACCATTAATTTAACAATAAAATATATTAAATAAGTAAAAAGGGCAAATGTCATGTAATTAATGACATAAAGCATGTGAATACGTATAATATCTGCACATATTTAAATTTATAAATATACAAATTTATATACATACATATTAACATATTAATATACTAATAAATGTAACTCTATAAACATAATGAAAGCCATAAATAAAATGACAGAAAACAATAGAAGTCCCTCATAGCCCAGAATTAGAGTGATATTGTAGTTAAAAAACACAATTCAGGAATAAAAATATTTCTAAACAAGTTTCATACTTCACTGTGAAATACATACGTGTCAGATACATTGCACCCTTATTAAAATTATTTTTTCCTTACATGCCATATTTCTTTTTGGGTCTCCCTTTAAAACACTGTTCATAAAACTGACTTCACAGCCCTATCCAAAATGCCTTTAGCCCTTTGCTCCTGACTTCAAATAACAAAACCTAAAGGTTCACATAACAGAAGCAGAATCAACATTGCTGTCAGAGAGGTAAAGGAAATTAGCGAAACAAAGGCAGATCCCTCCCTAGGGGGAAAATGTTAGAAAAATCTAAGAATATGAATATTCTATGGTTGCTCAATATTTGTACTGAAGGTGAACTTGTGTGTTCTTCTGCATATGTGTGTGTGTGTGTATCACACGTTACACGTATGGTTCTTTATATTTGTGTGTTTTTATATATTTTTCTTAGTTTACTGAACAATACGTATTTTTCTCTCTGACTTAAAGTTGACGTTATCATGTGTCGTTAAAATGATTTTGATATTGCTCCCCTGGATACAATGCCTATGGGAACTAAATAATTAAGTATGCATAATCAATTTGCTTAAAGTTAGGTCTTAATGAGCCTCCCAAAGGAATATTTCTTTTAAGGACATTTTAATAAGTGAAACCAATCAGGAGGAAGAAACATTTCAACTTAATCAGAAATTTCCTCTAACTGTTAAATCATTTTTGAAAGACTCTCATAATACTCATAATACTACATATTAACTATTGCAATAAGGGTTTTTACAAGTACTATGGAATCACAATGAAGGGACTGCTTAACTGCCTCAGAGACAGAAGTCATCACAGAAAAGATAATATTCCAATTGGGTCCAAATTACAGGAAATACTTCATCTCATCTGACATTTGTCCCTTGGATTGAAATTATGTTTGGGTTCTATTGGGAAGATATACGGCCCCTGAAAATGAGGTGAGATTTTTGTTTTGTTTTTCTTTGTTCCATTTTTGTTTCACTGTTTTTCACTTTATAATTAACCTCACAGACTTTTAAGCAAGTCAAGTAAAATTAATGCAAATTGTATTTTGCTTCTCAGACACACAATAAAGCCTTATTTTCTGAAAACAAAGAATAAACTGTACATTTGCTTTAAATATGCATATCATATATTGTAGGAAATTTTTTTAGTGCTTCTAAATTTCTCAGGTATAAATAGAAGGCAGAGTGAACTATTAGATCAAACAGACCGGAGATGTCAGTGGCTCTGTGTGAGCTCTCGTCTGTTTTTGCTGATCTGAATTATAACATTTAGTTGAATAAATCAAACCTCATAATGAAATAGCCAACATAATATAAGAGGGAAATTTCGGGTCTTTTCTTTCTTTCAGTAAACATCTATCCTAGTTTGAATGTATGTGCCCTTCCAATATTCCCATGTTAGAACTTAAACCCCAAGGTGATGATATTAAGAGATGGGTCTTTAGGAGATAATTAAGCCTTGAGGGAACCACCCTTAAGAATGGGATCAATGCTCTTAAGATCAAATGCTTCAGAAAGACATTTGGCTTGCCCATCTCCTCTGCCACGTAAGGACACAACATTCATCACTTTCTGTCCTTTTTCGCCATGTGAGGATGTAGTAAGAAGGTGCCAGCCATGAACAACGGGCCTTTACCAGACACAACACCTGCTGCTTCTGGATCTTGGACCTCTCAGATTCCATAACTGTGAGAAATAAATTTCTGTTTTATATAAGTTATCCAGTAAGGTATTTTATAATAGCAGCAGTAACAAACTAAAACAGATGGAAAAACAGTCTCGTGATGATTTCTGTACTACAAAGATAATTCTGTTTCACATCACCTAATTTTATTTTGTTTTTCAATTTATTATTTTATTAGGTAATATACCATCATGATTGCAGGATTTAATCAAGTATTTAGATTGCAATAATTATTTTCTATCATTGTTTAATGAAATCCCCATGAACGCTCACTCCTTTCCTTCTACTACTTCTTGATTTCTGCCTTATTTTGATTCATAAAATGAAACAATAGATGGATAGACAGATAGATACATAGATACATAGATGTTCATGGAGGTATAACATAAACAATAATACCCCAATAGCAATGAATGTGTTCCTCATCAAGATCTTGGTTTATAAATACCTTTCTTCAACAAAAGTGTGTAGCATCCTTGGAAAAATGAATCGGAAAAATATGAGACAGGACTGGAGCATTTGGTTGCAGAAAGTACAGTAGTCCTCCAAACAAGATGGAAATGTCAAAATAGAAAAGGAGAAAATTCCACTTCCATCAGGGACAAGTACCTTTCCCATAGATAACAATTATGAACTGATCAGAATACAAAAGCAAACTATCTCAAGACAAATTTCAGATGCAATTTGATACAGAAAAAGGGCAATTGCACAACGTAAGATTTTCTCTCTACACAGCTTTTAACCCAAGGAAAGGTCAAGGACAGTCTTGTATTGGAAAAATAAAATAAAATACTAATTTAAAAAGGAAAGAATTTGACAACTTCAGCTGCCAGAAAGTGAGGGGAGAATCTTTGAAAGAGGACAATCAGAGAGCAGAAGCTATATTTCTGTATTTAGGGTCTGACTGCTGACATATGTATGCATGTGGTTCACTCAAAGCAGCCCAGCTAAGGATAAGTTAACAAGCTAGAGATGTTAGGTTCCACACAAGTGAGAGAGTTTGCAATTTGAGTATAATCAAGTCACCCCTAACTAAACAAAACAAAATGAAACAAAACAAAATTATTTCTGTAGCAATATAAGAGAACCCAAAAATTCTACACATTAAGAAATTTATATATATTTATATGTAATAAATTTATAGATGTATATATGTAATATATTTATATACAGTAGAGAAAGAAGGAGAAATAAATGAACAAAGCCAAAACTCAGTTCTTTAAAAATATAAAAGTAAAGAAATACAATACAATTTTTAGTAGAATATTTTTTCAAATACAAAATAATATTATGAATGGCAGATACTACAAATCCTACAGACATAAGCTAATTCTTTGAAAATATCTCTGCCTCAAATATGCAACTGACATGACAAATTTTTGAAAAGTCATTTGGACAAAACTGGCACTGAATCAAGCAAAAATTCAAAATAGTTCTGCCTCTATTAAGGGAATAGAATTTGTTATCCAAGTATATTCACAACAAAAAAAGTCAAAGCTCAAATGGTTTCACAGGTTAATTTTAAGAATTGTTTAAGAAAGAAATAACAACCATCTTAGACAGCTACATCTTATATAATACTTAGGAGGAAAGAGACTTTTAGTAGTGACAAGGTTTCATGGAGGTATCTCAAGACCAAGACCTAAAGTTGATTATGATTGAAGTTCCATTGTCCTTCTACTGAACACTGAAGGAAGTATCTTTTTATACAATCATAACAGAAAAGCCAAAAAGATAAATAATATGGTGCCATAATGCTTACATTATTATGGATAAGTAATATATAATCTAAAAGTATATTAGCACTGTATATTCTATTTATAGATTTAAAATAACTACACACTACATATGCTAATACATATGATATATATTTATATCATATATGCTACTTCGTATTTGTTTTAACTTACCATTGTAAACTATGACTTTCCTGACTCTTGTATGGTATTAAGTTAGAGAAAAAGTGATCATAGTTTTTGCCATTTACTGTTTTGCCATTAACAGTAATGGCAAAAACTGCAATTACTTTTGCACCAACCTAATAAATAGGTGATGATTAATGCATAATATTCTATCCTATGCTTTAAGTTGTCCATTATTATTGAATATTTAGCTTGTTTTATTCTCTTTAATAATGTCAGTAATGTATCTTTTTTCATGTTTATGACTATTTGACATATTTAAATTTCAAAAGTGAAAATACATAAGCAAAACATACTAAGAGCTTTATGACTATTTATTGCCAAATGACTTTTCAAAAATAATGGTTTAATACCATTTCTACAAACACATTTTTAATCCAGTTCATTTGCTGAATATTATTTACTATTCTTTATTTTCTAATTCCAAGTTTATATTATTGTGTTCATCCTTTAAATTATTTTTATAAAAGCGATATTTTACCTAAATTAAAAAGCCAGTGTGATTACCCAGAATTAGATGACCTCATTGATGAATCAACAAGTATCAAAAATGGAAACATATCTTCTCATTGAAAGCATATTCCTCTATTTACATGCCTTTGAGATTTGCCAGCTCTTGTGGCTTGGTTTTGTTTTTATTCAGACACGGAGAGATTTGTTCTGAACTAAATCAATAAATAGCAACTAAATTAAGTTGCTAACTGCATGTACTGCAGTATGTCCCCATGGAACTGAGACCTGTTTTAATTTTAGACATATACAACAATGTCAAGTTTTCTGCAATTAGCTATGTGTCTTGAGACTTAACTACCCTTGTATTGTTCATACCCAGTTGGTATACACATGAAGGAAAACTGAGAACAAATTAGAAAGTACAGCTTCATTGGCTGTTTTTCCTTTGAATGATAAAATGAGAATGCTACACACAGATTTGCACTTAATAATCTCAAGAAGCGACACATTTTCAACAACCTTCAGAGACTCCAAATTATAGTAGCATTATCATTGGTTTCTTCATTATAGCGCAGAGGTATTTTAAATACCAGGCAAACCTATTCTAGTTTTTCTATTGGAAAAGGAACATCACTAAACTTTCCTAAAGTTACAATGGTGGTCTGTGTGTGTGTGTGTGTGGGTGTGTGTGTAAAAGATACTTTAAAATTTAAGAGAATTAAAAATCCTAGAATGTATGCATTAGAAATACAGAAAGGCATTAATTGGGCCACCCTTTGTCCTGATTCAATTTACTAAATTTTCCTCTGAAACATTCAAATTTAAATCCAGATTTATTTGTTAGCATATTTTCTTTAGTGAACCTAGCAATCAACTAATCAATCAACAAAATTAAAAATCAAATAAAAGCATTAGCATTAATATCTTCATCCTTAACGTCATCAAAGAAGTTATGAACATAGTAATTAGGCATTAGAAAAATAACTTTTAAATGTTGGCTTTACTACTTAATGTTGAAGGCAAGAGACAGACATCAAGAAACTATGTTTCCAGTGCTTTAACTTCTTTTTCTGAAGAATGAAAATACAGTCGCTGTCAAATTAGAAAAACTAATTTAAAACACTGTGCAGTACCTAATACTAAATCAATTCTCATCAAATCTTATTACTATCAGTATTTGAGTAGGATTATAATTTTGCTGTTTGTACTAATATATCATCTCCTCAAATTCTCAGGGCTTTCCTTTGGTTAGCATGAAAAAAGGTTTTTGTCCCACTTTAGAAATGAAGAAATGGAGCCTAAGAACGGTTATGACTCCTTTACCCAAGTTGACATTTTTATTGGTTGTCAAAACCCAGAGCATCAAACTCCTAATCCAGTACTACTTTCACTATAATACACAGATTTGAATACTATGTTGAATATGTTTAAGTTTTATTAACTCTCTTGCTGTGTTTCACTGATGATAGTCTCCCTTTTACAAAAATTAGGCCTTTTTTAGAACTGTGTCTAGGGAGTCATAACACTCTGGATGTATTACTCCAGCCTACACACGTCTAATTTTCCTACAAATCAGTATAACATCCCTTGAACTTTATCTCTTCTCTAATTATTTTCTTTGCTGCAATTTTGTCTCCACAACTTGACTTTAATTCTCTTGAAGATGGACCAGGTTGAACACATTGTTATAAATCTTTAATAAACATTCTGTATTTATTTATTTACTATCTTTTTATAGCTCCAAGGAAACAAACAAACAAAAAAAAAACTTTTCTGTAGTCAGTTAATTTTTATTGCAATTTCTCTTACAGTCCGATTTAAAGAAAGGGACAGTGAAATTTAACCATTAATTCCTAGTCACGCCTTTTTTCTTTTTAGGTTTCAACTTAAATGCCACCTCCACAGAGTGGCTTTCCTATTAACATTAACTAAAGTTTTCATCTCAAAAATTACATCCATGTTATGTCTATCTGACAGCTATCTTTGTTTCCTTTATAACACTTTATTCCACATACCATCATTTCCTTGTTTATGTGTCTGTTTTGTTTACTAGAATGGAATATCTAAGAGGGCAGAACATACAATTATGTATACGGTTGAATCCCAAATAATCATAACTAAATAAGTGTTTCTAGAATAAATTTATCAATGTGATTAAAAAGGAAGTCCTTGTATTGCTCTGTTTGTGATACTATAAAGGAATACCTGAGACTGGCTAATATACAAAGAAAATAAGTTTACTTGACTCATGGTTCTGCAGTCTTTACAGGAAGCATGGTACCAGCATGTGCTTCTGGTGACACCTCACAAAGATTACACTCTTTATGAAAGGTGACAGGGAGCCAGAATGTCACATGGCAAGAGCAGGAGCAAGGTTGGGGGATGTACTACACAGTTTTCAACAACCAGGTCTCATGAGAATTTACTCACTATCATAAGAACAGCACCAAGCTATTCATGAGTGTTTTACCCCCAATAATCCAAACACTTCTCACCAGGCCCCACTTCCTAAATTGAGGATTACACTTTTACATGAAATGTGGAGGGGACAAATATTCAAACAATATCATTCCACTCCTTTCAAATAATCCCCCAAAGTCTTAAAGCATTACAGCATCAACTAAATTTAAAGTCTCAAGTTCCAATTCCCAAGTCTAAAGCCTCCTCTGTAGATGAGTTCCTTCCAAGCCTGTGTAATAAAAATCAAGTTATTACTTCCAAGATACAATGGGGTTATAGGCATTTGGTAAACATTCTCATTCCAAAAGGGAGAAATTGGCCAAAATAAAGGGGCTGCAGACCCGATGCAAGTCTGAAACCCAGCAGAGTAGTCATTAAATCTTAAAGCTCCAAGAAATCTCCTTTGGCTCCAAGTCCCACATTGCAACCACTGGTGCAAGGGGTGGGTTCCCAAGGTCTTGGACAGCTCCAACCCTGTGGCTGTGCAGGGTGTATACCCTGTGGCTCCTTTCATGAGTTGGAGTTGGGTGTCTGTGCCATTTCCATATTCAAATTGCAGGCTTCCATTGGCTCTACCATTCTTGGGTCTGGAAATAGCAGCATTCCCATAGGTCCACTAGGCAGTACCATGGTGACAATTCTATGTGGGCGTTCCAGCCCTGCATTCCCCCTCCATGATGCCCTAATAGAGGTTCTTTGAAAGGCCTCTACCCCTGCAGGAGATTTCTTCCTGGGCACTCAGGCTTTCTCATAGATCCTCTGAAATCTAGGGATAAGCTGCCAAGCCTCCTTCATTCTTACATCTAAACACCTGCAAGATTAACATCACATTGAAGCCACCAATGCTTACAGCTTCTACCCTTTTAAGCAGCAGCTCAAAACGTATTTAAGCCTCTTTGAGCTGAGGTTGGAGAGACCTGGATACAAGTAGCATCCTCCTGCAGTGGTGCTGGGAAGCAAGGCCTGCCCTCTAAACCATTCTTTTCTCCTATACCTCTGGGTCTGTTTTAGGAGAGATTGGTTTGTAGATCTGTAAAATGCCTTTTCTCATTGTCCTGTCTATCAGCGTCTGTCTCTCTATGAAACATATGAATCTCTCTGGCAAGTGGTTGCTCTGCAGCCTGCTTGGATTCCTCTCCCAAAGAAGTTTTTTCTTTCTTTGCCACATGGTGTATTAGTTTGCTTTCACTCTGCTATAAGGAACTAGATGAGACTGGATAATTTATGAAGAAAGAAGGTTTAATTGACTAACAGTTCCACAGGCTTAACAGGAAGCATGATTGGGAGGCCTCAGGAAACTTACAATCATGGTGGAAGGTGAAGGGGAAGCAAGCACCTTCTTCACATAGAGGCAGAAGAGAGAGAGACAGATCTCATGAGAACTCACTATCATGAGAACAGCAAGGGGGAAATCCACATCAATGATCCAATCACCTCCCACCATGTGGCTCCCCTGACACATGGGGATTACAACTCGACATGAGATTTAGGTGGGGACACAGAGCCAAACCATATCACATGACTAGGCTGAAAATTTCCAAACTTTTCTGCTCTGCTTCTCCTTTAAATAGAACTTCAATCTTTAAGTCATTGCATTGCTTCCACCTTGAGTTATGTTGTTAGAAGCAGCCAGGTCACTTCTTGAATTCTTTACTGCTTAGACATGTCTTCTGCCATGTACTTTAAATTCAAACTTCCACAGTTCCCTAGGGCATGAACACAGTACAACTGTTTTTTGCTAAGGTATAACAAGGGTAACATTTGCTCCAGTCCCCAATAAGTTCTGTATTTCCATCTGAGACCTTGTCAGCCTGACCTTCACTGTATATATTTCTATCAGCATTTTGGTTACAACCAATTAACAGTCTCTAAGAAGTTCCAAACTTTCCCTCATCTTTCTGTCTTCTTGTAAGGCCTTTAAGCTCTTCTAACCTCTGCCCATTACCCAGTTCCAAAGTTGCTTCCACATTGTTGGGTAGCTTTATAGCAACATCCCACTCCTGGTACCAATTTTTTATGTTAGTCCATTTGTACACTTTAAAGAAATACCTGAGACTGGGTAATTTATAAAGAAAAGAAGTTTAATTGGACCACTGTTCTGCAGGTTTTAGAGGAAGCATGGTGCTAGTATCTGCTTCAGATGAGACTTCAGGGAGGTTAAAATCATGGTGGAAGTTAACAGGGAGCCAGAATGGTGAGAGTGAGAGCAAGAGAGTGAAATGGAAGTGCCACACACTTTTAAACAACCAGGTCTCATGAGAATTTACTATCGTGAGGACAGCACCAAGCTATTTGTTGGTGATCTGCTCCCATCATCCAACACTCCCACCAGGCCTCACCTCCAACATTGGGGATTGCATATCAACATGAGGTGTTTGGAGGAGACACATATCCAAGCCATATTAACCCTGAAAATACACACCAACAATATTTAATGAAAATATCTATGAGTCTAGAATCCTTCAACTAGTTCTTTAGCCTTTGACTATATTTCTGTTTAGATGTAACTCCTGTCTGCATGTGTTTCCATTTTATTAGAGAGAAGTATTCATGACTCAAGGCCAAGGCTGATATTCAGTTGTATGTGCTAATATGGCCAAATTCTTTTTTAAAATACTAAAAACTGGGGTAAATAACTGTATCCCTGAAGTTCATATGTTGTCCACACAAACACACATGCACGTTCACACGCACTCACACACACACACACACACACACACACACACACACAGTTTTTCTTGTGATCCAGTAAATAACCAATGAATATCTAGCAAATGAGAGGATGTTTAGAAACCAGTAGTCAATTTTACCACAGGTGAAGGTCTAAATTTTATGACTTAAGTTATTACAGAAGATAAATAGTGTTCCTGGCAAGGCCATTTGATTACAGTGTTGTGGCCTGAATATTACCATAAACAATGGAGTTAGGAACTCTAGCACTGAGATTCCAAATTGAATGCAATACATTTTGGACCTAAAGTGATTTAGGATTTTTGAATGTTTCTGTTTCTAATGCCAGGAATATTTGGATTAAATATGCTAGAGAAATAAAAACAAAAGAATTTCTCTGATTACAAACACTATACAGTATAGTAGTGTACAATGAACTACTTACACTTTTTAAAATATGTTTTGCATTACTTAGAAATTAGATAAGTTGAAAGTAAAATTTTGTAAGAAAATTTGGAGATGTTAGTTAAGTACAGGCAGGCTCAGGAGTGTGTGGCATCTGTTAGCTAAGTCAATAAAATGAAGTAGAAAAAATAAGTAAAATAAATAGTAAAGAGAAGAAAAATATATAAATTGAGGGAATACAGTATGAAAAGTTTTAAAAGAGAAAAGTAGGGATAATAGGTCTGATTAAAAGCACAAAAATGGTGCTCAATTTGATTTTCAAATATTTCTTGATGGCATCGTATTAGAAATCTCTCATAGAATTTTTATCAATTGAAAGAGTCACTCTAAAACTCCTAAATTTGACTCTACTAACATTTCCTTTGAAAGGTTTAAATACTCTTTCTGGTAACTTTTGTGCATATATTTCTTTTTCTTTTCATTGTTATACTCTTTTTAAAACAACTTTAGTGTCAGTTTTGAAGTTGAATTCTAAATTATATATTATTACTATTATTTTGATTTTTGTTTTAAATTTTTCTAGCTGTCACAATGAACCTGTAAATTTCTCAAGTTTAGGGGCTCTTTTGAGAATTTAATGTTTTTCCCATAGGAAAACAAAATTAATTTGTCCTGGTTGTTGATAAAAGCACTTAAGTTAAATATGAGTGCAGCCAGTTTTTTTCACTTCTCATTTTTTCTTATTCTTTTTTTTATTTTGCTTTAAATTCTGGGATACATGTACAGAACATGCAGGTTTGTTATGTAAGTATACATGTGCCATGGTGGTTTGCTGCATCCATCAACCAGTCATCTAGGTTTTAATCTTCACATGCATTAGCTTTTGTCCTAATGCTCTCCCTCCCCTTGCTCCCCACTCCCAGACAGATCCCAGTGTGTGATGTTCCCCTCCCTGTGTCCATGTGTTCCCATTGTTCAACTTCCACTTTTGAATGAGAACGTGCAGTGTTTCGTTTTCTGTTCCTGTGTTAGTTTGCTGAGAATGATGGTTTCCAGTTCATCCATGTCCCTGCAAAGGACATGAACTCATCCTTTTTTATGGCTTCATAGTATTCCGTGGTGTATATGTGCCACATTTTCTTTATCCAGTCTATCATTGATGGGCATTTGGGTTGGTTCCAAGTCTTTGCTATTGAAAATAGTGCTGCAATAAACATATATGTGCATGTGTCTTTATTACTTCTCATTTTCAAACTTTATCTAATAATAAAATATTACTTGCAGTTAATATTTAGTTGGCAAACTATTTAATAATAAATCCTTAATAAATACTTTAATAATAAATTCCTTAAAAATTTGAATATTCTAAGTATGTTTTCCCAAATCTCACAATCGTATTTCAAAGCTCAAATATCATTGATATATTTTTCATTGATATAATTTTCAACTATTATTGATATCATGGATATAGATAACACTGTATGTATGGCAGATTACATGAAAAACCTTATGTTTCTGAAAGATAAATTTGCTGTTGACTTTGAGAAACATTGTCTTTTAGGAAATATGTCCTTGTTAGTGACCACTTTATTTTAATTACCATGAAAATATTAAAGTTAATTCAGATTTCCATTTATCTTTCAGATAGCAGAACATATTTTCACTCCCACATCCTATCATTACTTTTTCTAACTTAATATGTGTATAGATAAGTGTATGTGTAATTCATATTTCTTAAGGAGATTGCAAATATGTAATCTATGTAAAACAATTAAAACAGCCAGTTTGAGATTCATCTTAGTCCTTCAAGGTAAATATATAATTCTTTAAAGTACATAAATGCTGAAATATCAATTTTATGTATAGTTAATCCAAGGACCTGAGATGTTGTTTGGGAAGTCAGTGGAAATATTAAATGCAAAAAACTTATGAAGTTTTTAATTCCATTCTTCCTTACCATTTCAAGGTGATGCAGATTCTTTCTCTCACATCAGTGATTCCAAACCTAGAATGTTGAGAAGTTAGAACAGGTAATAAGCAGTGATGTCTAACCAATAATAGTGGCAGCCAATGGATGTTGACACAAATAGGTACTGTGAGGCCAGGAGAGGGTCACCACTTAGCTTTTTCTTTTATTGCTCTAATTTCACATTTAAATGCCCTTAAGGACATTTTTACCCATGGAACTCTGGCAATTTTATTTATAGCATTTAAAACATTTTGCAGTAAGTATGTCTTTCTATTAATCAACCGTTGTTTTTCTTTTCCAGAGGATCTGTGAAAAATACTGGTGCTAATTACTTGCAATTTCACATCAATTAACTAATTTCTAGCCCAACAGGACATCTCCTGTCATAAAAGTGCCAAGAGTATCTTCTAATATCCTTGACCTAACTGGCTGTTCTTGGGATATAATTACATATAATATATTTTAAAAATCTATTCATGTACTTATGCTCAATGCATAAAATTCAATGAAACATTTCATAATGCTACTAACAGGTATATACATTACCCCAGAAAGTGTTACTAGATAATTAAAAAGATGATATTGTTAGAAAGTAAAATGTATGAAATTACCTTAGAACCACTCAAACTTAGAGAATGGAATAAAGAACCAACATAAAGGTCACTGATTTTTCCTAATATTCTTAGAGTATTTTTCAAGAAATTATCTAATTTGTATAATAGTCAAAGAGATGGAGAAATAACAATATCAAAAAAGCTCACACATATGACATTAAACATTTGTACCTTAAAAATGCTTCTGACTTGGTTAACATTTGGGACACTGATTGTGGTAAACCTAATTCAACCTCATGTAAAGTTAACCATGGTAATCAATGGTCAAAGCTTATGGTACAACATTATACTCAAGCATAGAAAATAAGGCAAATAATAAAAGAATACAAATTTATTAAGATATTTTAATTTGGATTTATAGAATACTTATTTGGCATGTGAAATTTTGGAAAAAATATACAGATTACTCATTATTGTATTTTATGATACAGCATAACTCTAAATTCTTTATAACATACCTTTAAAAGTTATAACTAATTTGTCACTGAAAGTATTAAATACATAAATATGTGTAGTTACCACCCCTCAATAACTCTCTAGAACCTTAAAACTGATGCAAATGACTTTTTACAAGGTTTACAAAGGTCTTACTCATAGACAAGGACTTACAATTTATATGAACACTGAATGTTTTTAGACACTGAAAAATATGTTCTCCCAGAAACTATGAATTCTTGTGGTGGGGAAAAATAGTGTTTATCTACTCTATCTCCCTTGAAAGTAATCCAAAAAAATAATCCTACTTGGCAGCAAAAGGGCTTTATGAGATCTGTGCTTTAAACCAATAAGGCAAATTCCCCCAGAGCATCCTTCAATTCCACCTCCAATCCTACAGTGGGGATTAATGTCCTTATCCTCTGATAGACAGATATACCTTTCAGGATGTGGAGACAACATTTAATAAACAGGATCCGTGCAATTGGCTGGAGCTAACATATACTGTCAATTTCTATAGTGAAGAAGAACCGTATGTTTGTAATTTCCTTATAATAAGAGGTTTGTTAAGCATATTATAGTGGATTTACTCTCTCTGTTTATATTTTATGCACCCAGGGGCTGGATTGTATACAGTACCCATAGTTTCACTAGAATGATCTTCATTTAGAGAAACACAAGTTTAAATAAAAAGTAGTGTGATATTAGAGCTATGTATATTTCTGCACTATGGAGGTGGTAGACACTGAGTACCTTCTGGGACAGTCAGAGTGGTTCTTCAGCCATACAGAGGCCTTCAACTAGAAAATCTAACATATGTGGTTTGAAATTTGGAGATCGTGAAAGTGATTCCGTTAATAACAATGCCTGAGCTAATGAAAGTGAAGAATACTTCTAAGATGATGCTATGCAATAAGAAACTAGGTGGAATGTCTTGCAAATTACTGAAAGGCTAACAGCACAGATTTCCCTTTATGTCAGCGATGTCATTCATTGTTATACAGAAATGTAGATGAGAATACCTAATGGCAGTTTATTCTGTCTTGATTGAAGGCAATGAGCTCATTGGTCAGAACCCTACTGTTTGTCCTTTTTGTTTAATAACAATTGAAATTCTGGTTTTGTTCCAGATGCTGGGCTAAGTGCGGAGTCATACTCAGTTGCTCTAGATTCATCCCGTTTGGTGTTGGAGACAAAATATAAATAATCATATCAACAATAAAAACATAATTATCTTTACTTAGCATGTATAGAGCACATCTATTGTGCTGACATTAAAGCTTCACATGAATATTTTCTTAGTCTTCATAGCGACTCATTTAAGTGAAGACAAAATAAATGGACAAAAAAATTGAGGATTTTTGATAGGTTTCAATTATGAAACAGTTTTTACTTCTTAAATAAATTTGAACTAACATTTAACAAACACAAGGCAAATCCATTTTCTTCAGCTATGTTTTAGTAAATTTACTGCACAGAAATATGACCAAAATTCAGGGATTGAAGTAAAATAATGCTCACTTCACCTTGACAAAATGTGTTAGCTTGTGCTACAGTTATGTGATATAGTTGGGTAAAAGGTACTAATAGAGTAGAAATAAAGGGTGAGGTACAAATTCCTGAAATACTAAGAAGGTGCAATTAGAATGATTTAGCAATGAACTAGAGAAGAGAGAGGGAAAACTCCAAGATGAATCTCAAGTGATGGTCTTGCCATAGACAAAGCAATAAAATACAGAAAAAAAAAATGATAAACAGCAAGAGAGCGAAAAAGATGAACTCACTTTTGAAGATGTTGAAAATCAAGTGTCAGGAGCTGGTATATAGTTGCCCCTCAAAAATGGTTGTTGAAAAAATAGCAAACTAATTGACCCTGCCGGGAATTCAAGGTATGACTCTTGACTTTGAAGGTGAAGTAAGGTGAGGGGAAAGGGAATTATATATGGGGCAGTTACATCTAAACAAGTGATGAGAGCAAATAAGTAGTAAATATTTGTCATTTGGGCTTACTCAACATTTATCTACTTTTCTTATTTGGAGGATATCCCATCATATAAAATCGTGAAGGGACATAGTAACATAACTCTATTCATAAAGTAAAGTAGAAAGATCCTCCCATTGTCTATCTTCTGGAGACACCTGGCCAAAATTGAATTACTTGAATTGTCCTACATTAGATTTTATTTATGGAATATTTTTTATTACTGAATTAGTGACACAATAGTGAAGATTTGATTTCTGTAACTACAGGAGTGTACAGAGATGCCTTGTACTGCAGCATCCTGATCACCTGGTTGTTTTTGAAAAGCTATCATTATACCACCTAAGCTTTGGACATGCCCTAGAACTGCCTCCGTTCCTGTTCATTTTCCAAATAGGTTATCTAGACTCTGCTGGATTCCATGAGCTCTTGAGATGCAAAAAACTGCTTTTATTCTTAAAATAGCTCATTTCCTTTTTCTTGCAAGCAAGAACCTTGACTGACATCAGAAGCATACAGAATGAGAGTATCAGCGGGATAAGAACCCTTTGGAAAACTCTACTGACCACAGCCAATTAAAGTGAAATCTCATGAACAAACAGAACAGCAACTGAGAGCTGAACATAGTCAGACCAAAAATATTTTTGTTGTTTTTGGTTTGTCTCAGTCCATATGTTAGCAAGAGATAACCCATATGCAAATGGGTCAGACTACTTTATTGGTCTTGAACTAGGATAAGCATAATTGTACATGTACATATATACATACATAAGTGCATATATGTCCACCAATAAGAAGTGCAATGTCAGATGTGTTAGACTTGTCTTACTATACATATACACAAAAATATCTTTACAATGAATACCTAAATTCAAGTTGCCTTCCCTTTATGCTTCTCCCTAGACCCTGTTTTTCTCTTCCTTGGAATAAATGCAGGTTTCTTATTATTCTGATTCTTTACAAGCCTCATAAAAGCTTTATTACAAATCAAATTTAAATACCAACAAACAAAATGGCTGTTAATTGAAAAATGACAATAATTTCTCAATCATATCTTTCAGCATAAAGCATGCTAAACCATGGTCCTGACTCCTGAATATTAGAATCAATTATTTTCCTCCTAAGATTAAATAGAAATGATTAGACATCAGGAAGAATTCTAATTTTCCTTCAAATGTTATTCAAAATATGTTTCTTCTTATTAACCACATCTCCAGCTATCTAGGTGTAAAATTAGCTTCCTTGAAATGTAAAATTTCATCGCGAATATAAAATAATAAAAAATGGGTTGACACTTTTACCTGGGAGAATCCATCATCTGACTGTTAATAAAGATTAAATTGTGGCTTGGAAATGTTAGGGTGTCTCCTCAAGATCTTGTTTCTCCTATGGCTAAGATGATCATTCTTTTGAGCCTTAATTATAGGACTGATATCTATATCAACTCATCTATTCCTAACAACCCTGATCACATAGCTGTAAACATAAAAAGCTTGCCCAGGCAATGAGCATGAAGCAAGAACAAGCACAGATCAGTGGACAGATAATCAGGACACAGAGGAAAACTGAGAGGCAACAATAAAGCTCTATGAGATAACTCAGTGGGAAATAGTGACTCTCAAATTTCCAGTATAATTAGAATGTTTATTTCACCTATACATACACTTTCTTAAGTTAAAAAAACACAAACAAAAAATCTTAACTAGAACATAGGCTTAGTACCACCTGAACGAGGTGTCCCTGCCCTTTCAGGGACAAGACTTTGGCTTTGTTTTGGTTGTCTTCTACCGTGGTCAAGGAGTCCAAGGAACCACAAGGTTACGGGTACTCAGTGTGCATGCCTGCCTTTCTAGACTATGCTCTGATCACCCAGGTCTGGAATTCTGCCACGTGCTCCAAATACACTTCCAAGTCTGTGAGGTCCTGCTCTGTAGAGCAGATTTCATTGTATATATGGGAAAATTCTAGGACCATGAGGGTGCCAAGTGGAGGCATTTTTCAGCGGTGGGGTGGTGGTGGGTGGATAGTGTCTGTATTGTGCCTAATAGAGCTGGAAAGGACAGGAGATCCCTCTCCCTGTATTGTCACATTTGATACCCTGACAAATCTGAAAATTCAGAATCTGAACTGACTTTTCCTGTTATTAAGTTTATTTGCTTGATGTATAAATTAAATATTTGGACAACGGTATGCAGATCACTTTTTTAAACCTGCACTGCGCTCCACGAGTTTTATAGGCAGACTTTCAGTAGTGTGCATATGACCAAGTGGTAATTTTAAATCAAGATCCTATCTGTTTACTGAATCATGGTGTAGTTATGCTCTGCCATAATCTAATGAGTCAAAATCATTTATTTTGATTTAAACTAATTACCAATTGGTAGGTATTGCTTGATTTAAAATGAACTCTGGAGGATGGCAAAGTCTGATCTAGGCTAACTCAAACAGAAATAACGATCCTCTTGAAAATAAATGAAGAAAATTTAAGAAAGAGACTAGAAAATATCAAGAGAAAGAGAAAAATAAAATATTTACAAATGAGAAGTCATACAGTGAAAGGAACCTCATAAAGCATCATTCTGGGTACCTAGGATGAGTCACATGTCCAGAATGGAAGGTGGGAGATATGAGCGCAAGGTGGGAGAAGGAGGGTAGGACAAAGAAATGCTGGATTTCAAGTAAATAGGGAGGTCTGAATTTTAATGAGGGAATATAATGTCCCACACCCACACATCACAACATATTTTACATAGTAAATTACCACTATAAAGGAATATTTTTAAAGTTTTTGTTTTGTTCTAAGAGAGCTTTGATTTTGTAAACTCTCCTTCAGAACAATTTTATAAATTTATAAATTATATGTATAGAAAATTTTGAACCTACTGAGCTCTATGAAGAAAGTAACCTGTAGTATTTTACAGAAAAAAGTTAGTAGAGAATTACAGTTTTTTTATAGAGAGAGGAAATTATATCACATCTGTATCTTACATTTTACTTATTTTCTGTCATGTGTCATAAATTTTTTCATATTACTTGATGAATTTATAATAAATATCAAAAATTAATTGAGTAGATGAAGATTTCACAGTTTTTATGTTTTATAAAACTTCTGATGAATTGATATTTAGATGATTTATCAAAATTCATGAAAAGGTGAACATATTTGTTCATAAATTTTTAAGTAGGTTTTCTGTTTTATAATTTCCTTAGCAAGGATGTCTGAACTTAGCTCCTTTGATTGAATTTTATAAATATTTTAAAGACTCTTTTTACAAAGTCCTAAATGATGTTCCCCAAATTCCTACCATTTTATGTTCCACACAGTGAATTCTTTTTTTCTTTTTTTTGTTTTTTTTTTGAGACGAATCTCGCTCTGTCGCCCAGGCTGGAGTGCAGTGGCTCTATCTCGGCTCACTGCAACCTCCGCCTTCTGAGCTCAAGCAATTCTCTGCCTCAGTCTCCCAAGTGGGTGGGATTACAGGCACCCACCAACACACCCGGCTAATTTTTTTGTATTTTTAGTAGAGACGGGGTTTCACCATCTTGGCCAGGCTGGTCTTGAACTCCTGACCTCGTGATCCACCAGCCAAAGTGCTGGGATTACAGGCGTGAGCCACCTTGCCCGGCCCACACAGTGAATTCTTGTTGCACTACAAAGTTTGGGAGTAAATTAATAGACAGAAAAGACTGTAGTGTCAACTTTTTTATTAATGAAGTCTCTGCGTCTAGGATGCAAAATAGATACTAGCAAAATTTCAATAGAAAAATGTTTTTCATGATAAAAACTATATTTATCCAATTCAAAAAATGTCCTCATCAGAAATTACTTTCTTATTTTATCCTGATTGTATCTCATAATGCCAACTCATATTTTTTACATAAACCTTAATTTTTTTTTTCGAATTTTTAAGAAGATATAAGAAATTCTGGTATCAGAAATTTCAGAAGGATTCTCAAGAAAAGAATCTACCTTCAGAGCAGGTGTTGAACATAAGCCATTTAAACTGATGTTACAGACTTTGATAAGAACGAAAGAAAGAAACAGAATGAACTCAACCTATCAGCTAAATCTTCTGATACTGACAGGATATGTGAAACTAGTACTGAAGCTCTGATTTTTCCTAAATTCCTTCTAACCCTAACTTTCATAACTTCAAAACTTAAAAAAAAATACACTCAGTGTTTTCAAGTTGTATCACATTACACTTTGCCTCTATTTCTTTGCAAATCTCAGGAATGTTTCAGATCACTTATTTGTTACAGTTTTCAGCACCTTTGAGTAGACAATCCTTGAAAAAATGTCACTAACTCTAGAGTAAGGTGCCAACAGTCTGTTTATTGAAGTTATCTTTCTTGCCTTTGGTGACAGTTTCAAGTTCACTTGGACAGACTTGAGATAGAAAATGTTGCTCTTTAGGATTTTGTTAACTTATGTGTTCCTTCCTCATAAATAATTTTCTGTCTTGAGAATAAACCAGGAACTTGCAGTAGTAGGATTTTGCTTTTGCTTTCTTTTAGAGAGGACATTTTTAGTTTGGAAACCTAGGGCTCTAATGTGACTTGTTCACCAAATGCCCTGCTTCACTGAAGGAAGTGAAGCATCCAAGGGTTTTATTATTCTTACTGTTTTTGCCAAATTAGGACAAGTTAATGTAGGGAATGAGAAAGACTAAAACTTGTATGATGTTTCACAAATTAATCATAACAATTCTAATCAATAGTGTTAATGGGCACCTGATATGTATTGAATGTTGCACTTTATGAATACATTCATTTTATACTCCCAGAATCTTTAGAAGATACATGATATCATTATTATCATTATTCTTCAGATAGAAGTAAGTGTTAGTTAACTAGCTTAATGGACAAGCTATTAAGTGACAGAGCAGGAAACTGAAGCTAATTCTCAAGAATTCAAAAGTCCATGCTCTTAACTACCATGGTGAACTTCATTGTTTAAGAAAATATAATGGTTCCCCATAGTCATTTATTGATTTTTGCAAGTCTTGATGCATGCCTGTTTTGAAGAGTTTATCGCTGTAGGAAGGAAAATTATATATTCAATCCTTAGAATTTCCTGGGAACTGGAAGCACCTAGAATAGCACCTGATCCAACCAATTATATTTAGATAACGAACATATTTCCAGAACATTTAAATTACTTGGTCAGGAGCTGTGGTTAGTGAATGACATGATAAGAATTAACATTTAGACCTCCTGGATTCCATTACAGTGTCTACACATAGTAATACCAGTTTCTAAACAAAATCACATACAAAGTTTGCTTTTCATGTGGCTTAAAAATGAATCACAAATGTAATTTTTGTGCGAGTAAGCAAAATGGTAGATATCTTTCTAATACTCATATAGAAAGAAAGAGTTATGAAATATTCCTGACAAATTCAGCTAAAAATTGAGAGCAGTTTAAACCACTCAGGAGTCAGTAATATAACATTGTGGGTGAATTTTGCTCCAGGAAATGCTGTAATTTGTTTTCTTTTAAATGCAATCCAGTTTCAATTTTAGTTCTTGCTAAAATCTTGCTAAATACAGCAGGAGGACTAAAACAGTAATGGAGGTTTTCACCATCTTTGTGTCAGATCCTCTGCTCTGTAAAGAATCACAAAAATTGTAATTAAAATCTCCCTTTCCAATTAGAAAATCTGATTTGTTGTTGGACATTTGGGTTGGTTCCTGGATCAAGAAAATGTGGCACATATACACCATGGAATACTATGCAGCCATAAAAAATGATGAGTTCATGTCCTTTGTAGGGACATGGATGAAGCTGGAAACCATCATTCTCAGCAAATTATTACAAGGACAAAAAACCAAACACCACATGTTCTCACTCATAGGTGGGAATTGAACAATGAGAACACATGGACACAGGAAGGGGAACATCACACACCAGGGCCTGTTGTAGAGTGGGGGGAGGGGGGAGGGATAGCATTAGGAGATATACCTAATGTTAAATGATGAGTTAATGGGTGCAGCACACCAATATGGCACATGTATGCATATTTCAGTAAAATATAATGGCTGAAGTATTTTTTCAAATGGACAGTTAAGCCAACCAACATCACTCTTAAAGAAAGCTCATCTTACTATTGGCAAAAATAAAACCAGCATTAAACTCTGTTTTCTTACAAATAAAGGGGAGACAATTGTTTCAAAACTGGAGCCAAATATTTTCAAGATGGAACAATTAACTTAAAAACATGAGACATTACATTACAAAATAGAAAATTCTGTATGCAACCTAATTATGAACCCATTATTTTTCAAGGATAAGACTGCATATAATGTTATTTTCTAGATTATATATTTTGAATTGTTATTTTCTAAAAAGGAAAGAAAGATTAAACAAAACCTCAAAATCAGGAAAAAAAAAAGAAAAGTAAATCTGATTTGTTAATTTCTTAATCACCCAGTCAAAATTTGGTCACACTTAGAAGGGCAGAAAAATACATAGCTGAAGTTTCAAAGGACAAGGAGCAAGCATAGATTTTAGGTTTCATTTAGTATTGTTTGTGAAACTTCTGGCCTGGTTATAAAACATGCTGGCAAATACAGTCTGATTTGTAAAGATGTTAATTTTCTTTATGACAATCTACAAATACAGTCTGATTTGTAAAGATGATAATTTTCTTTATGACAATCTAGAAATAGCTATCAAAATTTAAAACATACAAAATTTGATCTGGAACTATATCTTTAAAAATTTATTCTACAGAAGTGTGAATGAAGATGCTTGTATAAAATGCTCACCATAGCACTGTTTGCAATGTAATGTAATATTTTTAAATCATATAACAGTGAATCAATCAGTGAATTACTAAATAAAATATATGACATGTATATTATGAAACATTATAAGCCTTTAGAAAGATGGAAGTAAAACTATGCTAATATAGAAATACCTCCAACATATCAATTTTATGTAAAAAATATATATTCCAGATAAAATATAATTCAATTTAGGTTTTGAGTACATGTAGACATGGACAAATAATACATAGACTGATAAATAGATAGATATGGATAGTTACTTACAAAATTATTTTTTGGTAAATTTATAGGAGAAGGAATGCAATTAGAAGAAATTTCACATTTTAACCTCTCTGTATTTACATTTTGCTTTCCTAAGTAAAATAATTTTATTTGGTTCTTAAAGGATTTTTCAAGGCAGAATTAATACTATGTTTAAGAAATCTTAAACTTTGAAACTTAATTTGAGGGAACCATTATATATGTTATCACCAAAGGAAGTTATGTATTGGAAGTTATGAAAAATAAAACATTATAAATAGCCCTCATTAGTACATACTTCTTTTTGCTGAGAATTCTAGGAGTCCATAATTGCCCTTAGATGACAAAATTAAATACAACCAGCTAAGTAATTGTTTCAAAAACATTGTTTCCGGAAGATAACCTTTGGAAACCCTTTCCTTTTGAAACTTCATTTCAGTAGCTACCCAGTACATGAAGTTCTGCTTCATCTGCTGGAGAGAAGCACTTGTCTTCAGCTTATGTATGAGGTAAAGTTGTGGAACATGAACTTTTTCATTTCTTCTATAGGAGACATAAATCTCAAGGTGCTTGAATGATTCGATTACCTACTTCAACAAAGAGGGTTGATAATCACTGAAGATAGATCTATTGCTGGTGAATGAAGGTCTACCAATGATTTATTAGTGCATTGAAACAGCAGTGAAATAGTTATGGCTGAGTGGGCATTTCCATTAAAAATATCTAGTTTGGAGCTTTCATTTTATGGCAGAAAACATCCATGAGACTAAAGTTTTCACTTTAAGCCCAGTGTATAATTACTTATTCAAAACTATTGGTCAGAAATTCGAATTAAGATCAGTTTGTGTTTTTCATTTTTATTGTGGTTTTTTGATGACATCAAAATCTCATTTTTAAAAACTTCAAGCATTTTATGGCATGTTGTATACCCTGGAATTTCTAAATACTCCAGAATTTTCTCATGCTCTGACTTCACAAAAAAAGTCATGTCTTTTGAAAAATAACACAAAGGAGGCCATTTCAATTTGGGCCAATAAAACTATGACAGAGGAAGGAAAGTCATTTGCTTTAGAAATCATTCTCCATTAATCTAACATCATCTGAGAATGTTTTCTTTTAAAAAATTCTGAAATCATTAGTTCAAGCTGATGGTTCTCAGTGACTCATGTTTAATGTCTGAACTAAACAAGCTTTGTCTCAATTGCTTTCTACAATACTGACTGATTTTGATAAAATTTTATGTAACACTAATGAATATTAAGAATTTTTGGATGCAGACTTTTTAAAGTCTGTGTGGATGCAAGTTTAAGACCAATATATTTCTCAGATGAATGTATCTTTTTTTACTTTAAGGGAATTTGATGCTCAAAGGTAGGTTACAGATATATGTGAAAATACTGATTAAGATATATAATTTGCAGAACCATTTGTGACAAATTATTATGTAATCATGGCCAAAGGATATTAACATTTGGTGAAAATCCTACTTAACATCAGGAAGTTTATAGCATTAACTTATTTATTCTTTACAATAACCTAATGTAATAAGAAACTGAGTCTGACAGATGGTAACTTGTCTAAGATCAGAAACCTATTAAATATGAACGTTAGGAATTCAACAACAGACCATCACAAAACTTGTGCTCTTGTTATGCCATGACTTTCTTTTTCTGTTTTACCTTTTAAAGTAATAATGGCATATTCATGCTTATATATATATTTGTGTTTCAGAGCAGAACTTTTATTAGCTTAGCATATATTCAGCTAGAATGCAAGCTTCTTGAGGGCAACAGCCAAGTCTTTTATGTTCCCCAGTGTATATCCAGCTCCTAACTTAATGCCCTTTGCCAGTATACCACAGTGAACATTTAGTAAATGTGTGAATAGAAATAAAATGTAAATAATATCTACTCAAAAGAATACTAATAACATAAGTTATACATGTGCATAAAATAGATAAATAATTTGCATGCTATGTTTTAATATTTCAGAGGTCTCAGTTTGTCAGCAGTAAGCAGTAAGTCACATGGCAAATACTTAATTACTTATCACTACTCACATTTCATCCCTAAAGTAGATGGTCATACATTCATAACAACACTAGCTGCTGAGCCAGAACATAGCCATGAATTCCTACACAAATAGTACTTTGAAACACAACAGCAAATTGACCCAAATAGGTTTAGTATTGAAAAACATCTGCCACCTCTAGCTTAGTTTAGAATTGGTGATTTTGGTCTGCCTTACATTCTTATATTTATTCATATTTAATCTTTAGCAAAGGACCTTTATAACTATTACCCTTATCTGATCTCACATAACCCTGAAAAACAAGACAGATATATTGTTAACTATTTTAGATATAAGCTTCAAATGATGAATATCTTAGTTTGTTTGGTCTCCTATAACAGAAGACCATAGATTTGGTGGCTTACCAACAGCAGAATTTATTCTCAAATTTATGTAGGCTGGGAAGACCAAGGTTGAGGCACTGACAGATTCGGTGTCTGGTGAGGACCACCTCCTGTTCCATAAATGGCCCCTTCTTGCTGTGTCCTCACAAGGTTAAAGGGGCAAGAGAACTTTCTGTAATTTCTTTACAAGGGTACCAGTCTTATTCCTGAAGGCTCTACCCTCATGATCCGATTAGCTTCCAAAGGCTCTACCTCCAAATAGCATCACAAGGGAGGTTAGGATTTCAACACAGGAATTTGGACAGGCATAAACATTCAGTGAATAGCAATGAGTCAGTATCTTATAGTGTTTAGCTAATTTAGACAAAAGTAGAATTCAGGTCTTTTTACTGTAAGTCCAGTGATCTCTTCTTGGTGACTTGCTGCATCCAGCTCAGGTTTCTAGTTACATAATCTAAAAACTGCTGAATTTTGCCATAGTCAAATGCAAATTTATATGACTCACTTTTCTAAATGCTTAGTTGGAATGTATGAAAGACACTGTAGAATTGCTTATTGTCTAGTATAATGTCAATATTTATTAATTTAGAAAGCAACTTCTATATTGCTGGCATACTTGTAAGAAAAAGTAGTTTCTATACAGTAAAGAAAGTTAAAATATCATGTCTTAGTTGTGTCTAAAAGTGAGTAGAATTATTCATTTAATAACTTTCCTTAAATGAAATACAAAGGAATTTTTCTTTTAGTAAATGCTGTTAGAGTCATAGAGAATAGACTCCTGATGATGTCCTTCATGTTAAGAAACAAAGTATTTTAGCCTAATGAAAACAAACACATAACATAGCTACTTTAAAAGGGCCTACTTGGTTAAACGGTATATCCCAATGTTCATGTCCCATGCAGAACTTCAAAATGTGACCATATTTAAAAATAGGTAGGCTGGGCACAGTGGCTCATGCCTGTAATCCCAACACTTTGGGAGGCCAAGACAGCTGGAGCACTTGATGTCAGGAGTTCAAGACCAGCCTGGGCAACATGGTGAAACCCTGTCTCAACTAAAAATACAAAAAATTAGCCAAATGTTATGGTACTTGCCTGAAATCTCAGCTACTGGGGAAGCTGAGGCAGGAGAATCGCTTAAACCTGTGAGGCAGAGGTTGCAGTGAGCCAAGATCACACCACTGCACCCTAGCCTGGGCGACAGAGCAGAACTCTATCTCAAAAATAAATAAATACATAAATAGATAAAATAAAAATTAAAAAATAGGTTTATTGTAGATATAATTTGCTAAGATGAGGTCCTAATGAAGTAGTATGAGCCCTTAACTGAATATAACTGGTGTCCTCAGAAGAACAGAAGACACACCTACACAAACAGAATACCATGTGACAATGAAGGCAGAGATTGAATCTACTGATGAATCTACAAACTAAGGAACTCCACTGGCTGGCAACACCAGAAGGTAAGGGAAAGGCATGACAGAGACAACATCCCCCAACCCCCACCTGATAAAGGCAGGAGGCAGAGAACTCTCCTAGGCAGATAAAGGAGGGTACCCAGAGAGTCGCTGACCTTTCCCACAAGGGCTTACACCAGATGTTTTGTGCAGTTAAGGGAACTTGCACAGGGGGCTTGCCTGAACATGCCTGCAGCGGACTAAGGGCCCAACATGCACACTGCAGGGAGGGAGTGGAGCCACTGGGAATTTGTGCCTTATACAAATAGGGAACCCAACCCCATCCACTTTTACATAAAAACTTTTATTCAACTGTGACGGGGGCAGCTGGGAACCTGCTTTCAGGACCCCATTCTGCTGAGAACTTTCCTTTCACTTAATAAATTATAATCCACTCACTCTTCGATGTCCACATGCCTAATTTTTTTCCTGGTCTTGAGATGAGAACCTGGATCTAGACTAATTAAGGAGTACAAAATCCTGCATCAACCCCACTTGTAGAGCCTCCAGAAAGAGCATTGTCCTACTAATGTTAGCAGGGAGTCCTTGCTCCCAGAGCTCCCAAGATGGTGGTGGGCCACTTTCCAAGATGGCGGTGGGCCGCTTCCAAGATAGTGGCAAGCCTCTTGTTCTCTGACCTGGGGTTCCAAGGAATGGAATCTTGGGCCATGCGGTGAGTGTTACAGCTCTATCAGAAGCTGTGGGTCATGGAAAAGAATCGTGGAACCCAGCAACTAGTGTTCAGCTCGATTAGGATGAACCCAGGCACTTAGCCATGTGGGAACAATAGCAAGCCTTTAGCCCGACTGGGAGCGGCAATGGTCACCTCACTGGATCAGGAGCACAGCGGACACCCTGCTGGATCCAGAGGGATGGAAGTCAGCAGCGGGCCTGCAATGGCAGCAAATAGCAGTGGTGGATGGCGAGCAAAAGCTCAGCTTGAGCCGTAACAAACACGGACCAGAAGAGTGTGCAGTTGCAAGATTTAATAGAGTGAAAACAGAGCTCCCATACAAAGGGAGGGGACCCAAAGGAGGTAGCCATTGCCAGCTCAATTGCCTGGGTTTATACACTGATCATTTTCCTCCCTCTGTGCTCTCAGGTGATAGATGATTGCCTATTTCTTTACCTCCCATTTTTGCCTAATTAGCATTTTAGTGAGCTGTCTTAACTACTTGATTGGTCGGGTGTGAACTAAGTTGCAAGCCCTGTGTTTAAAGATGGACGCGGTCACCTTCCCAGCTAGGCTTAGGGATTTTTGGTCAGCTTAGGAAATCCACCTCATCCTGTCTCTCACTAACACCTTGATTTCAGACTTCTAGCCACCAGAAACAAGTGAGAGAAAATACTTTTCTCTTGTTTCAAGCCAATCAGTTTGTGACAGTTTGTTATGGCAACCTTGGGAAACCAACACAGATGCTATTGAAAACAGAATATAACTGAGGTATAAAAATAGGTGGCAAAAACCAGAAGCAGAAATCATAAACTCTGTTATTTTTTAGGAGTGGGACTTTGCTTTGTTGAGGTTTCTTATTTGGGAGGGAGAAGAAAATTGAAAAAGAATTGCCTATTACTGTAAGCAAATTTCTGTGTGACAGAAAAGAAAGATGTCAAAGTGAAAAGAAAATTTGTAGTATTTATGGCATGTAGATAAAGTTACCCATCCACAATAAAAGATTTAGTCTCTCTGATTCCTTTTTATCTACATTTGAGAGTTCAATTGAATTGCCCTGATCCTATAGCTCCAACAGACATCCCCCTGTTTTTTCTTGTGTGATTAGTAATGTTTCTTTTTCATAAAACCACTGATGAACATAGTTAAGTGTGATTGAGATCTCACTCAACACTAGGCTCTATTTTAGGTACTTTTGCATTAATTTATTTAATCCTGACCAAAAATGCAGCAGCTTACATCACTCTCTCTATTTTAATGTAAACTTTAGAAACATTAAAAAAAAATTGTCACTACCCCATAGCTAAAAAGTCATGGAACCAGGGATCCAACACAGACACGCCAACTCAGCCGAGCTGTGATCTATTAGGTGATGCTTGTATCACAATGGGCATTTAGTCTACGTCCATTCTGACTTCTAACTAATCTAGAATCTATTGTTTAACATATATAGGAGTTTCCTGCCTTGGAAATGTGGGGAAGTATGACTAGATGATTTGAGTTTTTTGGTTTGGTAATTTTTTTTTAGTAATATTAAGTTCCTTATGATTGGTTGAGTATATTCTTGAATCAAGTTTTTGAAAAGGTGTATTCTCTTGTAACCTGCTTTTGCTCCATCCCTGACTTGGTGTCTACTACCTTATGAATTGCACTGACCTAGTGCATCACAGGTTTGTCCTCTGCTACTGTTTATGGGGAGCTGCCTGTTCCTTTGGCAGAACCTCCTGATGTCTTTCGGCCACTATACCTGTACTGAGCAGGTATACCTGTACTGAGCAGGTATACCTGTACTCCTGAAATTCTCTGGCAGCACCACCCCGCTGGGAACACTAAGAAACCCTTAATATTCTAAAAGGAGTTAATAGATTGCTGTAGGCACCTCATGTCAGCCCGTTGTTCTTATTTATACAAACTGGCCACTTGCAGATGATTTGTGAATGGTACAAAATTATGCAGTGTTTGGGGGCAAATAAGTAAACATCTTTACTATCTGAGAGTCAGGGACATTTTCTACTTTTATCTCAACAACTTCAATGACTTGCACTGAGGTTGGGACAACAATTGAAATAAATTTGGATAATAAGTGAATGCATGAAAGTTAGTAATGAAAGCATCTTGAATGACTTTTCTACTTATGAATTCATTTCTTATATAAAACAATTCCATTGCATTAGTAAATTTATTAATCAAAATCTAAGAAGGATGTAAATGACATGTGATCTGTATTAGCTATGAGATGTTATGTGTATAAGAATGAATTCTAGAGCCAGACTGGTTTTTAATCCAGTGCTTACAAATTATGTGACTTTTGACAAGTGACTTAGTTATCCCTGTCTCTCAGTTAACTCATATATCCTCATAATAAAGAATTTAAAGTTCTAAAAATGTACTTGGCAGAGAGTAAGCATTACTGTATATACTTTTTAACTACTAATGTCAGAGAAAAATAGCAGTAGGTATAATCATTTTTTTCTTATAAATCTAGCTTGAAAACCTGGAGACAAGGGAAATATCTCCAGACTGTAAGTGAAATATTAACTTGAATAGCTGCTTTGCAAAATATGTGTTTGTTAACTGACTGAAGTATAAAGTAACATTTAATCACATAAAAATAAATAAATTATTATTATTATTGTTATTGTTATTATTACTTGCCTATACTTTGTTAGAAATTCTAAGTTTGCAACAGGCATCATGAATCCCTTTCTATCAACTTGAGCTTTAATTCACTTGGGGCTAGTTTTGGGATTTTTAGCCCTGAGCTAGAGATTTTTCATCTAGGTATAGAAAAGTTGTGGAAGCCACAGAGAATGAGGACAGAACACTTCTGAGAATCACCTGAAAGAAAAGGGGGCTTGCAGATTTCATTCAAATGTGACACCAGTTAGGGGGAGCATCCTGCAATCATAACTACACACTGCATCTATTGACTTCAGTTCTCTGACTGTTTCCCTGCGGAACGAATTCAAGCACAAAGCTCCCTCTGTCTTCAAAAGGAAGCTTCGTGCTTGAATGGGCTCGGCAGGAAAAAGATGAGAAACTGACCCTTGAGTCCTGTTCTTTTCTCAGATGCATTTGCCCAGGAGATACTGTGCTAAGATATAAGAATGCCGTACAATTTTTAAGACGTTCATATGCAGGCTTCTTAAGAAATGGCAGTTGATGTGAATTTTAGATTTCATTGTGTGGAACTATATTATGATATACATAGAAATAGTCTTTCAACTGAACCTTCCACTTAGTTACTGTGATAAAAGTTATTGTTAGACTAAGTCAAATATTTTTTCAGAAGTTTTGGAAGCTGTTACACAGAGTTTATTTTCAACTGTATGAAGAAGTGACCTGAATACTCCTGAACTAACCAAGAAGCTTCATGACATTTTGGCTTGACTTTTGAATACATTAAATAAGAATTTTGGATATTGTGCATATTCTTACTCAATTCCTCTTTGATTTCAACTCTACAAGGGAAAACATAATCACATCTCTTAGGTAAAATCCCGTGTTAAGTTTACAGTTTAGCTCACTTTAAGTGCAAACGTTGTAATCAAGATTTTCAAGTATGCATATTGCCCTGAGAAATTCCCTTTTTCCAAAACTTTCTTGTTTGTGTGTGTTTCACATTAGCTCTTTCATGCCATCCTTATATTCCAAAATGATTAATTATTGTTGGTGGTTAGATTGCAAAGCAGAAAAACCAGCTGTAATTGAGAAATTTTAAATTGATTTTGTGTTGTGTATTGGTTCCAAATGCAGTAAGAGACACTGGACCAATTCTATAAAGCAGCAGCATTTCTACATGCCACAGTATTGCATTCTGAGCATGACTACAATAGCATGCTGTAATCATTGAGATAATTCAAACACCCTCACATATTCCATATGCATTGGTGGTATTGGAGGGAGCTAGTACCAACCTGATAGAAAACAACTGGACTGTATATTTAGAACAATGAAGAAAATTTTATCAAAGTTGCTTTAAGCAATGAGTTTGTTTTTGAGGATATATTCAATAACACCTATGGTCTTTTTTTTTTTTTCCTTACAGTTCTTTAAATTACTAAAGACCACCCTCTATGTTTCAAGTCTGACTGAAATTTGTACTTTTTGCCCAAGGTAGTTTTGAAAGGCAATTCAATCTTTGAAGGATTCAAAGAAAAATTTCACACCACACACACACACACACACACACACACACACACACACACACACCACAGGACTTCTAAATTTGAACTTTATATTTGTATATAGTGTATTTTATATCTGAATTATATTTCTCTCAAGCAAAGAAATACATATTTGCATACACTCAACTATACTAATAAACTGGTGGAATTCTGTCAATTAAAATTGCAAAATAGTAGAATGTCTCCAGTATTTATTGAGAACAAACAATAAACACACACACACAACAAACATTGTGTGCCTTGCTGCTCTGTCTCAGAGAAAGTAGGCACAGTTTACTTTAAAAAGTCGGAATATAACCTTCATTCTATTTTCTAAGAAATAAACTCGATGAGACACAGTAGATTTTTGGGATAATAAGGTTAAGAATTGAAAGACGTACTATTAGGAATACTCTGAATAACAGTTACTCATGGAACAGCAGAAGGTTTTCAACAGTTAAATATTTCTCTTCCTTATTCCTTTTTTCGTGATAGGTTTTGTGTTTAATATGTCATAATTAAAAATCCCAAATATACAGAAAATGAGATGATATAGCAAAGCCCATTGTGATTGTCATCAATCAAATCTGTAGCATAATTTTTATCATTACCAACCCCTTTTCTTCTCTTTATCTGTTTGTTTGTCAGTTCATTCTTTCTTTCTTTCCTTTTAACAGGAGATTTCTAAGACAAAACTCAGATGTCATGTAATTTTACCCATAAATAGTTCAGGAAGTATTTAGAAAACATTATGTAAAGTAAAATTTGGAAAAAAGTATAAACCATTATGATAATATAATGCTTTTGAACATCACAATATTTTTTAATATCACCTAATATTCAGTCTTTAATAAAATTTCCTTGTTCATCTAAAAATGGTTTTTGTACAGTGGTTTGTCCTATATATTTTAAAATTTATTTTGGTGTGTTTTAATCTATATAATACAGAAAAAAATATGATGTAATGAGTTTCACAAAAAGCTAGTTTTATGACTAGTTTTGGAAGAAAAACACAATTATTTTACATATTAGTCATTCTAGTCAATTAGTTAAATATGTCCTCTAAATATGAATGTAGTTTCACTCCATGAGCTTTTGTTCATGTGTCTGTATCCTCATGGAATGTTCCTTGCCTTATTTCCTAACTTCTAAATGTTTGCTCGTTTTTTAAGGTCCACTCAGATGTAAACTGTTCTCTGATTTCTTTTCTGGCTCTCACGAATAATTTCAGGTAGAATTTGTCAGTCCTTTTCAATTCTTTCACAGGATTTTGTTGATGTCAACAATAAAAATTAGATAATCTAATTGCATTTAGATAAATGAATGTTATTAATTTTTATGATTTCCTACCAATTAGGTGTCTACTATTTGTGACATACTCGTTTAACCTTATTCAATGTCATAAAGATGTTCTTTTAGAATTTCTTCTAAAAGTTTATTTGTTTTACCTTCATATAGAAATCTACTCTATTTCTGTACTCCAGAAGAACTTTGGGTTGTTTTGTTTATGTTTTTCTTTAGAGACAGGGTCACACTGTGTCACCTGGACCCTAGGCTGACAGGAATGTTTCACCTGCACTGCTGGTTGGAGTGCAGTGGCACAATCACAGCTCACTGCAGCCTCAAACTCCTAACTCAAGCTATCCTCTTGCCTCAATCTCCCAAATAGTGGAACTACAGGCACACACCTCCACACCTGGCTAATTTTTAATTTTTTGTACAGATTGCATCCCATTGTGTTGCCCAGGCTTGTCTCAGACTCCTGGCTTCAAACAATCCTCCTACTGAGAGACAGGACTAGCTGGATTTCCCAGGCCGACTAAGAATTCCTAAGCCTACCTGGGGAAGGTGACCTCACCCACCTTTAAACATGGGGCTTGTAACTCAGCTCACACCCGACCAATCAGGTAGTAAAGAGGGCTCACTAAAATACAAATTAGGCTAAAAGCAGGAGGTAAAAAAAAAAACAGTCAAATCACATATCACCTGGGAGCACAGGGGGAGGGACAATGATTGGGATATATACCCCAGGCATTCGAGCCAGAAGTGGGCAACCCCCTTTGGGTCCCCTCCCATTGTATGGGAGCTCTGTTTTCACTCTATTAAATCTTGCAACTGAACACTCTTCTGGTCCATGTTTGTTCCAGCTCGAGCTGAGCTTTCACTCACTGTCCACTACTGCTGTTCACTGCTGTCACAGACCGGCCATTGACTTCCACCCCTTTGGATCCAGCAGGGTATCCACTTCATTTCTGATCCAGGAAGGCACCCATTGCTGCTCCTGTTCAGACTAGAAGACATTGTTACTGTGCGGCTAAGTGCCTGGGTTTGTCCTAACAAAGCTGAACACCAGTTGCTGGGTTCCATGGTTCTCTTC
The DNA here is from genome assembly GCF_000001405.40 of Homo sapiens. Classification (NCBI taxonomy): domain Eukaryota; kingdom Metazoa; phylum Chordata; class Mammalia; order Primates; family Hominidae; genus Homo; species Homo sapiens. Next base: position 38,602,181 of record NC_000011.10, read on the forward strand.
CATGACCCACAGCTTCTAATAGAGCTATAACACTCACCACATGGCCCAAGGTTTCATTCTTTGGAATCTATGAGGCCAAGAACCTCAGGTCAGAGAACAAAAGGCTTGCTGCCATCTTGGGAGTGGCAACCACCATCTTGGGAGCTCTAAGAACAAAGACCTGCTGGTAACATTTGGTGGCCTGTAAGGGGATTCTCCAAAGCAGTGAGTAATATCACTCCACTTTTGCTTGCTATTCTATCCTGTCCTTCCTTAGAATTGGAGGAAAATATCAGACACCTGTTGGCCAGTTAAGAACAATTAGCGTGGCTGCTGTACTAAAGATTCTGGTATGAGGCTTCCTGGGAAAAGGCTTTCTAACAATGCCCAACCCTTCTGGGTTGGGAGAATTGGTCTGCCTGGAACCAGCTTCTGCTTTCACAATTTTCCTGGGGAAGCCAAGGGTTGACTGGAGGCAGAAAGCTGTCATCCCAAACTTCCGGCATTGGCTGGTCAAGATCATGGCACAGCCAGAAATCTCTACTCAACAGTCGCCCATATGTGCGCCCTTACCTCTCCTTCTGATCCATACCTCCTGGGTTCTGACCATGACTTTCTTGAAAGTGTAGCCCCAAAATTATCCTTACCACTGAATCTACTTCCTCCAATCCCTGCCTCCTGGATGCTAATGCTTCAGACTTTTGCTTCCTCTCCCAAGTATTAGATCAGGTTGTATCTCCAAAGGGATCTAAGGAAGTTCTACGCTGTGTCCTTAGGCACCTAGGCTATGAACCCAGGGAGTCTTGTCCTGGTGTCCCTCCAAATTTAAGTATATAGTTCTCAACATGGGCAGTTATGTGGGACCCATTCCCCACCACCCTTGCCAGGGCCCAAGTTCTATTATAAGCCATGTCCCCAAGTTTGTAAATGGCTAGGAGGATTGCTCCCCCATTGTGTAAGATGCTCTCCTCCCCCAATTTCTACCCAGCTTACCCCTCTGCAGTATAATCTCCAAGCCTTGGCTCCATGGACAGGGCCTTAGAACTGATGACCCAGTACTTTAACAACTGGAACTGGGTCTGCGACAAAATAATACATCAGGATGAAAGCGAATTGAGTAAATTAAAGGGATGGCCCAAATACATTCAATCTGTAGCAGCAACTGCTTTGCTAACAGAAGAAAGTAGAAAAATAACGTTTAGAGGAAACCTCATTGTGAGCACACCTCACCAGTTCAGAACAATCCTAAGTCAAAAAAAAAAAAAAGTAACTTACTAACTCAAAAATCTTAAAGTATGGGGCTATTCCATTTGAAAAATGTGATTTAACATTAACCACTGAAAATTCCCTTAACCCAGCAGGTTTCCTAACGAGGGATTTAGATCTTAATTACCATACAAAGTTTTGACCAGACCTAGGAGGAACTCCCTTCAGGACAGGAGATAGATGGTGTCTTCCAGGTGATTGAGGGAAAAAAACCACGATGGGTATTCAGTAATTGATAGGGAGACTCTTGTGGAAGCAGAGTTAGGAGAATTGCCTAATAATTGGTCTGCTCAAACATGCGAGCTGTTTGCACTCAGCCAAGCCTTAAAGCACTTACAGAATCAAAAAAACTCTATGTCAATCCTGACTCAAAAGGTTACCTACACCCTCTCTGAAACGAATTTGCATAAGAACGGTTGTTTATGGGAATGCATCTTGATGGGGTAGCTGGGTTGTCATGAAATACTCAGGAACCCAGCCCAGCTCTAGGACTCACCCCTGAGCACAAAGGCAATGTTGAGCATGCTGGTAAAGGACCACTAGAATCCAGCAGCTGGGACCCCTTTCTTTGTGGTCAAGAAAGGCAGGAAAAGGGGTGCAGGACTGCTACATTGATGAGTGTAATTAATCCGATAAGCAGAGGTCCATGGGTGGTTACGCACCCTGGAAAGGAATAAGCATTAGGACAATAAAGGATGCTCTAGGATTAATGCTCATCGGAAAATGACTAGAGGTGCTGGCATCCCTATATTCTTTTTTCAGATGGGAAACATTCCCCCTAAGGCAAAAACGCCCCTAAGATGTATTCTGGAGAATTCGGCCCAGTCAGAGTATATGTGCCTTTTTCCCTGTTAGACTTGAAGCAAATTAAAATAGACCTAGGTAAATTATCAGATGATCCTGATGGCTATTTTGATGCTTTTACAAGGGTTAGGACAATCCTTTGATCTGACATGGAGAGATATAATGTTACTGCTAGATCAGACACTAACCCCAAATGAGAGAAGTGCTGCCATAACTGCAGCCTGAGAGTTTGGCAATCTCTGGTATCTCAGTCAGGTCAGTGATAGGACCTGTGGCTTCAAAGAGGACAACAGAGGAAAGAGAACAATTCCCCACAGGCCAGCAGGCAGTTTCCAGTGTAGACCCTCATTGGGACGCAGAATCAGAACATGGAGATTGGTGCTGCCGACATTTGCTAACTTGCGTGCTAAAAGGACTAAGGAAAACTAGGAAGAAGCCTATAAATTATTCAATGATGTCCACTATAACACAGGGAAAGGAAGAAAATCCTACTGCCTCTCTGGAGAGACTAAGGGAGGCATTGAGGAATGATACCTCTCTGTCACCTGACTCTATCGAAGGTCAACTAATCTTAAAGGATAAGTTTATCACTCAGTCAGTTGCAGACATTAGAAAAAACTTTAAAAGTCCACCTTAGGCCCAGAGTAAAACTTAGAAACCCTATGGAAATTGGCAATCTCGGTTTTTTATAATAGAGATCAGGAGGAGCAGGCAGAACGGGACAAATGGGATTAAAAAAAAAGGGGGCACCACCACTTTAGTCATGGCCCTCAGGCAAGAGGACTTTTGAGGCTCTGGAACAGGGAAAGTCTAGGCAAATCAAGTGCCTAATAGGGCTTGCTTCCACCTCGGTCTACAAGGACACTTTAAAAAAGATTGTCCCCTTGTTCGTGCCCCTTTATGTCAAGGGAATCATGGAAGGCCCACTGCCCCAGGAGACGAAGGACTTCTGAGTCAGAAGCCACTAACCGAATGATCCAGCAGCAGGACTGAGGGTACCCGGGGCAAGCGCCAGCCCATGCCATCACCCTCACAGAGGTATGCTTGACCATTGAGGCCTAGGGGGCTAACTGTCTCCTGGACACTGGCACGGCCTTCTCAGTCTTACTCCCCTGTCCTGGACAACTGTCCTCTAGATCTGTCACTATCCGAGGGGTCCTAGGACAGGCATTCACTAGATACTTCTCCCAGACACTAAGTTGTGACTGGGGAACTTTACTCCTTTCACATAACTTTCTAATTATGCCTGAAAGCCCCACTCCTTTGTTAGGAAGAAACATCCTAGCAAAAGCAGGGGCTATTATACACTAGAATTAGGAGAAGGAAAAAAGGTTAAATATATATACAGACTCTAAGTATGCTTACTTAGTCCTCCATGCCCACGCAGCAATATGGAGAGAAAAGGAATTCCTAACTTCTGAGGAAACACCTATCAAACATCAGGAAGCCATTAGGAGAATATTATTGGGTGTAGAGAAACTAAAGAGGTGGCAGTCTTACACTTCCGGGGTCATCAGAAAGGAAAAGAAAGCTAAATAGAAGGGAACCTCTAAGCGGATATTGAAGCCAAAAGAGCCACAAGGTGGGACCCTCCATTAGAAATGCTTATAGAAGGAACCCTAGTATGGGGTAATCCCCTCCAGGAAACCAAGCCCCAGTACTCAGCAGAAGAAATAGAATGGGGAACCTCAAGAGGACATAGTTTCCTCCCCTCAGGATGGCTAGCCACCAAAGAAGGAAAAATACTTTTGCCTGCAGCTAACCATTGGAAATTACTTAAAATCCTTCACCACACCTTTCACTTAGGCATTTGATAGCACCCATCAGATGGCCAAATCATTATTTACTGGATGAGGACTTTTCAAAACTATCAAGTAGATAGTCAGGGCCTGTGAAATGTGGCAAAGAAATATTCACCGTCACTTCAGGCCATACATATCAATCCCTGTATCTTTAACCTCCTTGTTAAGTTTGTCTCTTCCAGAATCAAAGCTGTAAAACTACAAATCATTCTTCAAATGGAGCCCCAGATGCAGTCCATGACCAAGATCTCCCGCCGACCCCTGGACTGGCCAACTAGCCCGTGCTCCAATGTTAATGACATCAAAGGCACCCTTCCTGAGGAAATTTCAACTGCATGACCCCTACTACGCCCCAGTTCAGCAGGAAGCAGTTAAGAACTGTCATCGGCCAACCTCCTCAATAGCACTTGGGTTTTCCTGTTGAGAGGGCGTACTAAGAGACAGGACTAGTTGGATTTCCTAGGCCGACTAAGAATTCCTAAGTCTAGCTGGGGAAGGTGACCTCACCCACCTTTAAACATGGGGCTTGTAACTCAGCTCACACCCGACCAATCAGGTAGTAAAGAGGGCTCACTAAAATACAAATTAGGCCAAGAGCAGGAGATAAAGAAATAGTCAAATAATATATCACCTGAGAGCACAGGGGGAGGGACAATGATTGGGACATATACCTCAGGCATTCGAGCCAGAAGTGGGCAACCCCCTTTGGGTCCCCTCCCATTGTATGGGAGCTCTGTTTTCACTCTATTAAATCTTGCAACTGAACACTCTTCTGGTCCATGTTTGTTCCAGCTCGAGCTGAGCTTTTGCTCACCTTCCACCACTGCTGTTTGCTGCCGTTGCAGACCCACCATTGACTTCCACCACTTTGGATCCAGCAGGGTGTCCACTGCATTTCTGATCCAGGGAGGTGCCCATTGCTGCTCCCATTCAGGCTAGAGGCTCACCTTTTTTCCTGTGTGGCCAAGTACCCGGGTTCATCCTAATCAAGCTGAACATTAGTCGCTGGGTTCCATGGTTCTTTTCCATGACCCACGCCTTCTAATAGAGCTATAACACTCACGGCATGGCCCAAGGTTCCATTCTTTGGAATCTGTGAGGCCAAGAGCCTCAGGTCAGAGAACGAAAGGCTTGCTGCCATCTTGGGAGCCGCCGCCACCATCCTGGGAGCTCTATGTGAGCTCTAAGAACAAAGACCTACCGGTAACACTACCTTGGCCTCCTGGCAGAACTTGTTTTTGTAAGACTTATGCTGTCACTTTCATAAATACTGGGTAGAATTTACTGCCAAAGAATGAATTCTGCAATTCTTGAATGTAAATATTTTAACTCAAGTGGTCCCCAACCTTTCTGGCACCAAGGACTTGTTTTGTGAAAGACAAAATATTTTCCATGGACAGGTTTGGTGGATGGTTTCAGGATGAAACTATTCTCCCTCCGATTATCAAGCATTAATTAGATTCTCATAAGGAGTGCGCAACCTGGGTTCCTCACATACGCAGTTTATAATGGGGTTTGCACTCCTATGAGAATCTAATGCCACTGCCACCCATCTGACAGGATGTGGAGCTCAGGTGCTAATGCTCCTTTGCTGGCCGCTCATCTCCTGCTTTGTTATCCAGATCACAAACAAGTACCTGTCTGCAGCCCGGGGGAGTTGGGGACCCCTGTTTTAACTAATGAATTGAATTGTTTAAACTAAATTTAGTAATGCCCAGATTTTCTATTTTTTATGGGTTAGTTTTGATGTCCTGTTTCTTAAAAAGTTGCCCAGTTTGTCAAATATTGTTCTTAGTATTCTTTCCTTATTTTTAAATATCTGCATGACTTATAGTAATCTCTTGTTTTTTTATTTTTTCTCTGGATAATTTATATTTTCTAAATGTTTTTCTTGATCTTATATTAGTATTATTATTTAAAATTAATAGATATTATTTTATGTATTTATGGTATACAACATGATCTTTTGAAGTTTATGTGCATTTTGAAATGACTGAATCTAGCTCATGTAAATTTAACATTGGTATACTCAGAATCAGATATTGGCATTATTTATTTTCCTTATGATCCCATATTCCATTTCAATAATTTATACTTATACTTAATTATTTCTCATTAATTTTGTTGAGGGTTTCATTTTCTCTTCTTTTTGGAACTTCCTGTGATAGATAGATTGTTTTTAGAGTATTTTCATTTCTGACATATCAACTGAAGGCTACAAATTTCCATCCAATCATTGATGTATATTCATCCACCAAATTTTCATATATCATATCTCCATTATTCAGTTAAATAAATTCCGTGTTTTCCATGGGGTTTCCTTTATCCTATGGCTTATTTAGAAGTGTGTTGCTTAATTTTAAAATAGGAGGGAAGTTTTCTGTTTATCTTTCCTGAGTTTACTTTTAGCTTCATTTCACTGTCATCAGTGAAGATTCTCTGAATGATTTTGGTGTTTTAAAACGTCTTGAAAAGTGCTTTATGAACCACGGTATTAGTCCGTTGTGTGTTACTATAAAGGAATACCTGAGACTGGATAATTTATAAAGAAAAGGGGATTATTTGGCTCATGGTTCTGCAGGCTGTACTGGATTCTGCTTCGATTCTGGTGAGGCATCAGGAAGTTTTTACTCATGGCAGAAGGTGGAGGGGGAACAGGCATGTGACATAGCAAGAGAGATAACAGGAGAGATGTCAGGCTCTTTTGAACAACCATCTCTTTTGTGAACTAAGTGAGTAAGAACTCACTCATTACAGTGGGGAGGGCACCAACCCATTTATGAGGGATCCACCCCGATGACCCAAACACCCCCCACTAGGCTCCACCTCCATCACTGAGGATCACATTTCAACATGAGATTTGGAAGAGATAAACATCCAAACCATATCAAACATCATATTGTTAATATTATTATTATGTTGTTATATTGTTAACAATAACAGATATGCCTTAAATTGTGTCAATACAATAGAGTATTAATTTTTCCTTTCAGTTATTTCAAATTTTATCTTTACATTTCAAATATATATTTTGGGATGCATGTGTATTTAAAAGTGTTATATGGAGTGAATTGGCTCCTTTATTATTTCAAACTTTCAACTTTGACATTAATACTGCATCTTGCCTTAAACTCCTCTTTGGATGATATTGGTATAGAAAGGCCAACTCTTCTAGGAGTGCTGTGGTATGGCATATCATTTTCCTTCTTTTACTTTCAACTAATGTTTCCTTATACTTAATATGCCTCTTATAAATGGCATATGTAGTTTGGTTTTACAAATTTTTTATACTTTTATTCTTTAATGTATAGTATAGTTCATATACATTTATCATAACTAACAATATGGTTGTGCTTATGTCAACATCTCTCTATTTTTTTATTTGACCCAATTTCTATACATTCTTTTTTCCACCATTTGTCCCCTTTTTATTGGTGCATATATATATATATTTTTGTTAATTAACTTCATAGAATACTTTTTCCCCTCTAAGATCTTACCCGAGATAAAAATATGTAGTTCTTATAACATTCTAAATGCAACTTCTGATACTGCTAGTATCTTAGAATACTTTTCCTCCATTTACATCCTTGTGGCATTTTACATTACTGTTATCATGCATTTTGATTTTACATAATTTTTAACGTCATGAGATATAATTAACATTGCTTTCTGTACTCATACAATTATCCTTTCTGATATTTGTTTTTCTTGCTGCACTCACAGGACAAGTAAAATTTGCCTTTAGTTCTGAAGAATGTTTTCACTGGGTATAGAATTTTAGGTTGACAGCTTTTTTTTCCCGTCTTTTCTTCTCTCATCTAAAGTTTAAAGGTATCCTTCCCTTTCCTTGACTTCTGTCACTTCTGTTGAGTCTTTTGCTGTGTTTTTTATGTTGTTATGATGCTCTACCCTGCCCCACTCTGTTTTGAATATTTTCTTTTCACTTTAGCTTTAAGCAGATTGCCTCTGGGGTGCCTATGAATGGCTTCCATTATATTTATTCTGCTTAGAATCCACAAGGTATTTGGCTCTACAGAGTAATGTTTTTCATCAGTTTTTGGAAACTTTCAAAAATATAACTTTAAATATTATATCATCCCCATTCTCTCTCTACATTATTTCTGAAATTCAAATTTCAGTTATTTTAGAAGATTTTATTTCATCCCACATATCTCCTAAACACTCTTTAAAAATACTTTTTATGTTTTATTTTTGAATTTCAGTTTGGAACCTTCCTTCACTAATTCTCTTTGATATGTTAAGTCTGTTAACCCTATATATTGCTAGAGCTACACCCAGCTTCTCCTATCTTCCATAATCATGGGGCACTTATCACAACTAAGAAATTAACATTTGTAACATTAACTAAACTGCAGACTTTAATCAGATTTCTACCGGTTTTATACAAATGTTTATTTTTTCTGTTCCATGATATAATTCACAATATCAGATTGCATTTTGTCCCCATGTCTCCTTTGTTCCCTCTAATCTGTAACCGTTCCTCAATCTTTTCTTGTTTTTAATAAACTTGAGAATCTCAAAGACTACTGGTCAGTTATTTTAAAGAATGTCCCTTTTTTGGATATATCAGATGTGTTCTCATGATTCAACTAAACGTAAGAAGAATAGCACAGAGACAAAGAGTAACTTTCGCAGCATCATGTTGGAAGGGCACACATCAACATGATTTATAACTGGTAATGTTAAAGTTTATTACGTGGTTAAAGCCACAGAAGGGTTCTCCACATAAAAAGTACTATTATCCCTTTTTTATTCTAAGTCTTTTAACTGCAGAATCATTAGCAAAATAAATAATTAGTTCCTTTATGTCTGAGTTTTGAGATGCTTATTTATACAACATTATTGTCACAAGGGATAATTTTTATAAAGACAAATCCTCTTCCTTTATGGCCATAGATTTTGCCCTTCTGGTTTAACATGAGTTCCTGGGGATTTATTTTCTATAAGAGAATATTAGCTTAGGCAATGCTCCTACATATTTTACTTGGCTGCATCAAGCCAAACCCCTAAAGATTATTTTTTTGTATGACATCACTCTTCCATTAGCTACAGGCTTAATATTGTTGCTACTTTTCTATTTTTATTTTTTGAAAATTTTGAACTGTGGTTTTACCCTACCCTCTACCATGCTAAACAAGAAGTCCCACAATTATGTTTATAGTGATAGTATCTGTCTCTTCATACATGTAAAAAATCATAAAAATATTATGAAGCTTTCTCAAATTTTAAGTAAAATCTATTCAACAAATTGTATATTTTGTGCATTTTTAAAATCTGTAGTTTTTAAAACAAAGGTTCATAGGCCAGGCATCTATCCTTCCAAAAATGACAATAGATAAATTCACAGTATATTGGCCATTCTCTTAGCATATGTTTGTAGTTAAATCAAGTAAAATGTAAAACTACAGTTGATTTGCAAAACAGTTCAGTATGTAATGTTTAACTAAATATAATTTTTCTTATAAGTTTTTTATCACAGTTTATTTTAGTAACTATTGTAAATGTTGGTTTAAAAATTCTTGCAGGATTCAGTCTCTCATTTTTCATGTCATGGTCAAACAACATTATTTAAAGCAATCTTACAATGTTTCTTCTACTCCACCACATGCCTCCCACCTTTGAATCACTACCTGTGCAAACTCCAAAGACAATACTCTGTCAAACGACATTTGATTAACTAGAATGACCATCTATCATCAGTGCACCATGATTAAAACGTCCTGTTATCAGCACCATCATCCATTAGCTAAAGGCAGAATTCATTGCAGCAGTGAAAAAATATAAGCAACCAAATGAGGTGCTACAAATTTGATTAATCAGCTTCTAATTACCTGAGACTCATACAGTGTCTCGCAAAGGCAAAAAAAAAACATAGAAAAATATCTAAAGATGAACCAAAATATAATGGCTAACATTTGATGTTATTGAGTGTTCAGAGTGGCTTTTGTAGACTTCGTGAGATGTCAGCAAAGCAATGCAAACCTTTTCTTAGCATTCTGCATTTGACTTAAACCTGTTTCAATCAAGATAAAAAAAATCCCTTTTGCTTAGAGAAATAATGTTTAGGATAGAAAAAAAAAAGATTAATATTAGAATGAAATCTTATAAACCTTCTAGAGTTTGATATCATGTGATTACACACTTCTGAAAAGTTCTGAGTTGTGGAAAAACAGGTATATTATTACATGCTGAAGAGGGATTCATGAACTGAAGAAGAGGTTTTGATATGTTTTCATTATTCCTCACCCTATTTCTTCCCCTACCATAAGAACAAGGAGAATAACAGTGTATATTTAGTATAAATATAAATTGATTTCTTATGAAGATTAACTTAAGTTAAATTTTAAAAATAATAATTAAAAGACCTAATTATACATTTTTAAATTTCTTGGAAATTAATGTCAACTACCAAATTTGTGCACGTCAGGCATCTGGATTCACAAATATATAAATTTTAAGGCTATGTGTTCCTAATGCAAAGCTGTAAATATGTTGTCTGCAGAATATAATCCAACCCTTCTCTCATAGTATGAACTGCAAATAATTTACATTCACAGTGCTTACTCCATGCTGCCATACATTGAATATTTAGTATCACCATTCGAGACTCATTATTTACCAAACGTAGTTGGCAGTTTTCAAATGCAATGCTTTGTTCATCATGTTTTTTCTTGCCTGGAGCTCTTTCTTCTGTATATGCTGTGTTCCACAGAACAACTTATTTTTAATATTTCCATACTATTTCTTCCAGGCAGCCTTTCCAAATCCACTTGAAATCACACTATCAGTCACTTCATTTTGTACCTCAATTAACCTTCTGATTTGCCACTTTCTTTCTCCACTGTGCTTTGTCAGCATTTGTGATAAAACTTATGTTTGTCAAGAAGCTCTCTTAAATGTTTGAACAAGGCAGCTAGCATCTTTTCTTTTTGCTAAAAGCTCACACACACAAACACCCACACAAAAGCTCTCATTGTTTAAAACTAGTGAATTTACTTTATTTTTCTAAAATTCTAGCAATTTTCTCTAACTGGGATAGAAAACAAAATAGCTAAAATGTAAGTTTCATGATAATTATTGAGTTCATGAAGATATGCTACCGGGCTGGAGATGGTTTTTGACCTGGAGCTATTGGTTAAGAGGTTGCCTATGAAAATTTACACAATAGTAGGCTCCAAGCAAAGTATTTAACTTGTTTCTAAAAATTTGGGGCTGAGAGGCACAGGATCAGGTATTACTCAGTGACTTTCTTATCAGAATAGTTTCTCTGGTGTTTTAATAAAAGTCAACATTTGATTCACTGAGACATGTATTTTCTTTTGCTTTTGTACAATGGCAATAGTAGTATTGGTGGATTACTGAAATGGCAGAAGATGAATGATAAGCCTGAAAATTTCCAACCCTCAAGAAAAACTGTTCTAGAGCATAAGGAAGACACTTTATGCCATGTTAGGACACTTTTTACAATTTAACTTAAATTATAAATAGCTATGTCAAAGTTATCTTACTGAATAAACATTAAGCAACTTAAATGAACATATCGTATGGTCTTTTATGTAGATAAACACATGGTATAATATTTTACATATGCCAGGTGCTTAAGTGTTTGAGTTGCATGTCTTCCTAGGATTATTGTGTAGCCATGAATTAACTGATTAATTAGCTCACCAGATCAAATATTCGTATACTTATGATATTTATTTTGGCTGTGGGTTTGTAGGCCATGTACTTTGTTTTTTCAATGGTTGTTATCAAATAGGCCGAGTATTGGCATAGTATTGTACAAATGTGGCCAAAGGATAAAGAAAGTTGAATTAAGTACTATGAGTTTGCAAATGTTAGGAATACAACACAATGGAGATGAACTAGTTCCTCTCTCTCAAAACACAATTTTCCTTAACCTTAGCACATGTTACTGAATCCTTTACCTAAACATGATGTTACCATGATTATGTTGACTTTTTCAAACCCAATTGGATACCATAACTCATTTTTTTTGTATACACCACAGCAGCAGTTAGGGACTTCTCTTCAGTAAGTATTTAATAGTACATTGATAGTCAGCTTTATGATGATGAACAAAAGCAAAACAAATAAGCAAAAATCTTATAATATTCTTACCTCCCTATTCTTGGTTTTTGGTTTAATGGAAGATCACAAAGACAAAGATGCATAAAATGTGGTGAACACTAATGCAGATATACAGATAGGATACCCAAAGGGAAGCCCCCACAAAAGTAAAATTATAACCCTGTAAGAAATAGGAGTGCAAGAATCTTGCATTGGTAACATTTTATACAAAATTTATCCTAGTCAGAGGAAATGTGAATTTTTCTTGAGGAAGTAAGATATAAAAAAGAGATATGATGTTAATTAACTGAGAAAACATGAAATAAATTAGTAATATGGTTAGAAGGATAGCTAAATCTCCATGTGCACAAGATTATGGCAAACCAAAAAACCTAAATGGTTCTGTGTATGTCTGAAAACATAGAGACAGGGGAATATCACAAGAGTTGTAGCTGGTGAAGTAGGAAAATGCCAAACCTATAATAAAGCAAACATTGCAGTAAAGTGAGTAAAAAAAAACTTTTGGATTCCCCAGCAAAGTGAGTAACAAATCTGTGGGTTCCCCAGTGTATATAAAAGTTATGTTCACACTATACTGTAGTTTATTGTGTGCAATATCATTATATCTAAAAAAAGTACACTTTTATTAAAAATGCTTTCTTACTAAAAATTGCAAATGATCATCTCAGCTTTCAGCAAGTCACAATCTTTTTGCTGGAGAAAGGTCTTGACTTGTTGTTGATGGCCGGTGACTGATCAGGGTGATGATTGTTGAAGGTTAAAGTGGCTGTAGCAATTTCTTAAAATAAAACAATGATAAAGTTTATCACATCAATTGACTTACTTTCAAGGAAGGTTTCTCTGTAGCATGCAATGATGTTTGATAGTGTTTTATCCACAGTAGAACTTCTTTCAAAATTGGAATAAATCCTCTCTAACCCTGCCTCTGCTTTATCAACTAAGTTTAGGTAATATTCTAAATTATTTGTTGTTATTTCAACAATGTTCACAGCATCCTCACCAGGAGTAGATTCCATCTCAAAAAACCACTTCCTTTCCTCATCCATGAGAAGCAATTTCTCATCTGTTTAAGTTTGATCATAGGATTGCAGCAATTCAGTCACATATTCAGAATCCACTTCTAATTCTAATTTCCTTGCTATTTCCACCACATCTACAGATATTTTCTCCATCATCATGGAGAAACCCCTCAAAGTCATTCATGAGGGTAGAAATGGACTTCTTCAAAACTCCTCTTCATGTTATTTTGACCTCTTCCCATGAACTACAAATGTTTTTAATGACATCTAGAAAAGGGAATTACTTCCAGAAAGTTTTCAATTTCCTTTGCCCAGATCCATAAGCAGAATCCCCATCTATGGCAGCTACAGCCTTATGGAATGCATTTCTTAAATAATAAGACTTAACATTTGAAACTGCTTCTTAATCCAAGGGCTGCAGTTTGAATATTGTATTAGCAGGCATGAAACCAACATTAATCTCCTTGTACATCTTTACCAGAACTCTTGGGTGACTAGGAGCATTGTCAATGAGAGATAATATTTTGAAACAAATCATTTTTTTCTGAACAGTAGGTCTCAATAATGAGCTTGAAATATTCAGTAAACTTCACTGTAACGAGATATGCTATCATCCATCCTTTATTGTTCCCCTTATAGAGCACAGGCAGAATAAATTTAGCATAATTTATTAGGACCCTAGGATTTTCAGAATGGCAAATAAGGATTGGCTTCAACTGAAAGTCGCCAGCTGCGTTAGTCCCCGACAAGACAGTCAGCCTGTCCTTTGAAGCTAGGCTTGACTTCTCTTACCTAGCTATAAAAGTCCTAGATGGGATCTTCTTCCAATAAAAGGCTATTTCATCTACATTGAAAATCTTTTGTTTAATGTACCCACCTCCATCAGTGATCTTAGCTAGGTCTTCTGGATAACTTGCCGCAGCTTCTTCATCAGCACTTGCTGCTTCACCTTGTATTTTTGTGTCATGGAGATGGCTTCTTTCCTTAAACCTCATGAACAAAACTGCTAGCTTCAGACTTTTCTTCTGCAGCTTCCTTGTCTTTCTCAGCCATCATACAATTGAATAGAGTTAGGGCCTTGCTCTGGGTTAGGCTTTAGCTTAAAATAATACTGTGGCTGGTTTGATCTTCTATCCAGATCTTCAAGACTTTCTCCATATCAGCAATAGGGCAGTTTCACTTTCATTTTTCTTTTTTATTGGGGCTGGGGTGGGGGGTGGGGGGGGAGGGGAAGGAGTCTCACTTTGTCACCTGGGCTGGAATGCAGTGGCGCAATATTGGATCACTGCAACCTCTGCCTCTCAGGTTCAAGTGATTCTCCTGCCTCAGCCTCCCAAGTAGCTGGGATTACAGTTGCCTGCCACCATGCCCAGCTAATTTTTTTTTTTTTTCATTTTTAGTAGAGACAGGGTTTCACCATGTTGGCCAGGCTGGTCTTCAACTCCTGACCTCGTGATCCGCCCGCCTCAGCCTTTCAAAGCCCTGGGATTACAAGCATGAGGCACCACACCCGGTCAGCTGTTTCACTTTCTTACCGTCTGCGTGTTCACTGAAGTGGCACTTTTAATTTCCTTCAATAACTTTTCCTTTGCACTCACAACTTGGGTAAGTAACTGGCACAGAGGCCTAGCTTTCCGCTTGTCTTTGCTTTTGACATGCCATCTCACTAAGCTTAATCATTTCTAGCTATTGATTTAAAGTAAGAGACTTGTGACTCTTCCTTTTTACTTGAACACGTAGAGGACATTGTAGAGTTTTTAATTGGCCTAATTTCAATACTTTTGTGTCTCAGGGAATAAGGAGGCCTTAGGATAGGGAGAGACAGGGCAGAGTCTGGTTGGTGGAACAGTCAGAACATACACAACATGTGTCGATTAAGTTTGCCATTATATATACACAGAGTTCCTGGTGCCCCCAAACAATTACAGTGTTAACATCAAAGATCACTGATCACAGATCACCATAATAAATTTAATAATAATGATAAAGTTTAAAATATTGTAAGAATTACCAAAATGTGACACAAAGACATGAAGTGAGCATATGTTGTTGGAAAAATGGCTCTGATAGATTTATTCAATGCAGGATTGCCAAAAACTTTCAATTTGCAAAAAAAAAATACAACATCTGTAAAGTGCAATAAAGTGAGGCCCAAAAACTGAGGTATGCATGTATATTTTCAGTTGGCATGTGGCACAATGTATTTTGTGTTTTAAAAAGTTTACTTTAACTGCAGTGCTAGTAAATGACTTCAGGCAAATAAAAACACCTGCAATTGGAAATATCTGGGCTAAGGTGGTATCAGTAACATCCATAAATTAGTAGATTTGAAACATCTGAGTCTAGGAATGATGGCTCAACTCCTGTTATTCCAGCATTTTGGGAGGTTGAGGCAGGAAGATTGTTTGAAGCCAGGAGTTCCAGACCAGCCTGGGAAACATATTGAGACTCCATCTCTAAAAAAAAAAAAAATTAGCCAGGATGTTAGCATGTGCCTGCAGTCCTAACTACTCTGGAGGCTGAAGTGGGAGGATAGTTTACGCCCAGGATTTTGAAGCTGCAGTGAATGATGATTGCACAACTGCACTCCAGCCTGAGCATCAGAATGAGACCCTGTCTCTAGAAAAATAAAAAGAGAAATAAAATAAAAGTAAACATAATTGAAGAGGCAAAAAATACAGGGATAAGCAATAAAGTGAATATGAAATATTAAAGGGGAGGGAGCTTTCAAGAATGACTCTTAGATTATTAGCTTGCCAAACTATTTTCACCAAAAGTATAGAAAAATATAAGCATATGCAGTATGGAAGTGAGGTTTCAAGATGGCTCCAATAATCCTCACTATTTTAGTGCGGTGACTTCTTGTGCCCTGCCAATTATCCTCACATTCTGGAGACCTGCCTTCTCCTTCTGCATCATGACTGACCTGGGTAACCAATAGAATTCTGTGTAGATAATTTTGCAGCATCCAGCTTTGTCTCTTGGATTTCTCACTCTGGAAGAAGTCACCCGTTGTTATGAGGATACTTAACCCTCAAGAAACGTACTTGTGGAGAGTATCTGAGGACTTCTGATAACTGCCGGCACCGATTAGTCCATCATGTAATTAAGGCACTTTGGAAGAGTATTCTCTATCTGCAATAAAGCCTTCAAATGGTTGCAGTAATGAACAAAATCTGAAGTGAATCTCCTGAGAGTCCTCAAGCCAAAATAATCTAGTCAGGCCATTTTCAAATTTCTTAACTAGAGAAACTGTGAGAGAAAATAAATACATAAAGATTTTTACTAATCCACCCAGTTTGGTGGTAATTTGTTGCATAGCGATAGATAACTAACAAATGAATAAAGTCTGAAACCTTGGCTTCTGGCATATTAAGTTTCAGCTGCTGTCAGGCATCTAAGAGGAAATTGTAAACTGGCAGTTAGATAAATTGAGAGAAGTCTATATTCGTTATGCAAAATAAGGAGTAGTCATCTGCTTATAATTGGTAGTTGAGATCGTCTACAGGGAAAATACAGAATAAGAAATTAGACCTATGAGAGAACTTTGAGGACTCCAACATTTCATGACTGGGAAGAAGAGGATGGGAACAAATAGGAATATGGGCAAGAAATGATGGAGAGAGTAGGAAGAACACAAACTAAGATATTCAGAGGTAAGGGTGATTTAAGGAGGGAATAGCCAATATTATCAGATGTTGATAGGTTATGTGATAAGGAATTTAAAAAGTATTTTGCATTTAGAAACAGATTTGTGATCTTACTGAAAATTGCTTAACTGTAATATCATGGAAGGAAGACAAAGAAAAATGAAGATAGTGGAGAGAGTGAGTGAAAAATAACTTATCTGTTTTATTCAGAAGCTTCAACTCTAATAATTCAAAGTGTTTTCTAATCTGGCCATCCGCAAATCATGCTGGATCATTTTCATGGTTCATTTGTACAATCAAGTAGAGATCAAGTCACATTTATTACTCTTGAATCATGATTTAAAATGATGATCACTTAATATTAAAGCCATCAAAATAAGTAACCCTAATATAAATAGGCAGAGTTGATATTTTGTATTCTTCAGTGTGATCATATAGAAAAAAATACATGCCCAACAGATTCAAAAAGCTTCATAATACTGGGAGAAAAAAATGTAAAAAAAAACCGTAAAAGAATGAGAAAGGAAAATCAAGGAATTATTATTTTCCACAAATTTGGGAGACAGACACATTTGACTAGAAATGAGTGGCAAAATAATCACAAGAGAGAGACAAAAATACATGGGAAATGCAACGTGAATATTCATGAATAGCCATGAATAAGCAAAATGGAGATGTGCCATGATTCAAAGTTAATTTAAAAGAGAGATGCTTAGGAAGAGTGCAATAATATAGCCAAAATGCCACAATGGAATGTTGGGCAATGACAGGCCACAATGATGGTGGTTCCATAAAATTATAATGGAGCTAAAAGATTCCTATCACCTAGTGACATTGTAGCTATAGAAAAGAAATGAGCAGGAGGGCACAGCACAATGAGTTACTCACATCTAGAAATTCCACATGTTGATTCCAAATATAAGAGTAATTATGCCATATAAGAATTGAGTGACTTCATTTCCTTCCTTCTTCATCTGCTACTCATATCACAGCACACTGCTGCTTCACAAAAATCTATACTGCCACCTGCCACAGTGCACCCGGGATCAGCCTCCCTTAAAAATAGAGATGAATATTTGTTATTTCTTTTAATCACTTTTGCAATAAAATGACCTTTATTTTTATTTATTTCCTTATAAAGAGGAAATTTCTTAAATATTTAAGTCCTTATTAAGAGAAATCTTAGCATGAGGCAACTGTAGATCAAAAGTACCATTCTTTTTCTCATATGTAAGTGCAAATAAATTAGATACTTAATAAATAATATGATGGTAATTTAAAGAAAATATAAACTCAGAATTTATATTTAGCCACATGTTGCATTTTGTCATATATTGATAAGCCTGACTACATAAGTCAAATATATTTTTTTGAAATACTCTCTCAGTTTAATACTTAATATGCAAAATAAAGATATATGTGTAGTCATGTGTTACTTAATGCCAAGGATACAGTCTAAAAAATGTACCATAAGGTGATTTTGTCTTGGTGCAAACATCACCAAGTGTACCTACATGAACCTCGATGGTACAGCCCACTACACACCTAGGCTACATGGTACAACCAGTTGCTCCTGTGCTGTAAAGCTATACAGCATGTTACTGTCCTGCATACTGTTGGCAATTATAAAGGTAAGTATTTGTGTATCTAAACATATCTAAATGTAGAAAAGGTACAGTAAAAATACAATATAAAATATATTTTTTAAAAAAGCTATACCGTATAGACCCCGTGAATGGAGCTTGCAGAACTGCTAGCTGCTCTGGGTGAGCCAGTGAGTGAGTGTTTAGTGAATGTGAAGATCTAGGACATTACTGTGCACTACTATATAGTAGATGTATAAAAAAAGTTTCTTTTTCAATAATGTATTAACCTTAGCTTACTGTAAATGTCTAACTTTATAAACTTGATTTATTTAACTTATTTACTCTTTTGTAATAAGAGCTCAAAACACAAACACATTGTACAGCTGTACAAAATATTTTATTTATGTCCTTATTCTATAAGCGTTTTCCTATTTAAAATTCATATATATATACATATATATCTTTTTAAATATTTTTTTAAGAACGAAGACACAAACACATACAGGGTCAGGATCATTCAAATCACTGTCTTTCACCTCCACATTTTGCTTCACTGGAAAGTCTTCAGGGACAATAATCCACATGGAGCTGTCATCTCCTATGACAACAATGCCTTCTTCTGCAATATGTGCTGAAAGTCCTGCCTAAGGTTGTTTTACACTTATGTTCTTTTGTTTATAAGTAGAAGGGGTACACACTAAAATAATGATAAAAGGTAGAGCATAGTAAATACCTAAACCAGTAACATAGTCATTTATTGTAATTATCAAGTATTATATGCTGCACATAATCGTATGTGCTAGACATTTCTACGACCAGCAGAGCAGCAGGGTGTTTACATTAGAAAAAAGTGAGTAATGCATTGTGCCGCGACCTCACAACAGCTACAGTGTCACTAGGTGATAGGAATCTTTGAGCTCCATTATAATTTTATGGAACCACCATCATTGTGGCCTGTCGTTGACCAAAAATGTCATTATGGCATTTTGGCTATATTATTGCACTCTTCCTAAGCATCTCTCTTTTAAATTAACTTTGAATCATGGCACATCTTCATTTTGCTTATTCACAGCTATTCATATTTTATATTTAAAATGATATTTAAAAGTCCATAATGTAGGCATTTAACACATGGCAAGTGTTTGATTTTTGAGCTTTAATAAAACCAATAATTTTTTCTCTAACGTTATTTTTTCAAAGTCAGAGTTCCATAAGTCTAAAGTCTAGAGGTGGGCTTGCCTAAGTTCTATGTTCAGGGTCTTACAAGTTCAAACTCAAGTTGTTCGTCACATGGATTCTCATGGGAGAATTGTTCAAGTTCATTCCATTATTGGCATAATTTAGTTCGTTGCAGGGTATGGCTGAGGTTCTCCTTTGCTTGCTGGCTTTTAGCCAGTGATCCTTCTCAGTTCCTAAAGCCACCAAATTTCTTTTCACGTGGTCCATTGAATCATCAGTTCATCAGCTGTACATCTAGTCCTTCTCATGCCTTAAATCTCTCTGACTTCTGCCATCAGATGAAGAAAGTTCTCTGCTTTTAAGGGCTCATGTAATTATATACAAAAGACCAGGAAGATAATCTCTCTATCTTAACATCAACTGCGACATAAAAACTAATACAATCATGGGAGTTATAGCTCACCATATTCACAGAGAATTGAGTTATTTTTTGGAATCCACTTTAGGAACTCAATTTACCATGCCAGGAAAATACCATGCCAGGAAAAATATATTTTGGATTCCTTCAAAAATAAAAAGCAAATCTACAACAGTTCTTCACCTGAGGCATCTCACCACAGCTGTTTTCCTTACCTATGTTGTCCAAAATATAAGGCCAAGTTATACAGTTGTCCTCTATGTCATTCTCACCACAAATATCTGTCTTTGGGTAGCATTTAATGTTAATCACATTTTGTTGCTTTCCATTAGAGTAATTGTTTACCTCTCTCTCTCCTGTGGAAGATTATTATGTCTACAATCTATCTACATAAGAGTTATGGGCTGTAAATGTATATCTTCTCCCCGGGTGACTATTATATACATAATCTGTTACCTTTTTCCATTAAGCTAATGAATGGTTGACACTTGTGATTAGAACAATCAGGCATCTTTAAATGTTGTCTTAAAAGTAAAAAATTAAAATGGTCCAGAGTCAAACTCACTGAACAACATCTGTTTTGCATTTAGCTTATAAGGTAAGATGTGCCTCTTGCTTTTTACTGAGAGCAGAAGACATTAAATTGATTATAACTTCATTCTTCTTTTATTTTAGTCAAAGCAAACTTCCTGATTCCACAAATTAGACTACAAGCTTTATTTCCTTAATAACTAAAGACAATTTACAAAACAGAGATTTTGGATAGCTTAAATTCTTAGGTACCATTGATTTGTACAAAACAACAAATTTAATCTAAATAAAGACAACACAATTATATATAAATAATAAGTTGGATTCCAGTCATTGGAATCACTCTGTGAAAATGCATTTTTATTCTTTTCAGCAGAATTGGTAGAATTAATGAAAGTGGCAGAATTGATAAAAGGAGATCTAACTAAAGGAGATATTTTAAATGAGCATTCCTTGACTTGAAATTCAGAAGTCTAGTGTAATTTTCAGGTTTGGCATTGAAATATATGAAATACGGGGGATTTCATTGAGATGCTCTAGGTTTGACCTCTCACATGGGCCTCACTCCTATATACATAATCTCCTATGTATATAAATCTCAGCTTTTGCTGAAATTTCTCCATTTTAAACTTCTTCATTCAAGAATCACAAGTTCAGCAATTAAAATTGGCATTCACTCTATAATATTAGCTTTTCTCTCCCTGCACCCGTCTATATTAGTACTACCATAAATTTTTACATACTAAACTAGAAATCTCAGAAAAATGATTGTCTGGATATTTTCCCTCCATCTTCTAAATTCAGTTTCCCATGAAAGCCTGTCCTTGATTGTTTCTGCTTGTACCACTGCACTACCTCAGTCCACTGCTCTATCACCCCAACCCTAAATTACTATAACCATCTGGCAACCAATTCTTTTAACTTCTGCAGTCTCTGTCCATTTAAGCCAGACCAATCCTTATAAAATTCTGATTATATCATATCAGTAGAGGACTCAAGGATTTATTTGGCTCCCCTCTTGGAATCAAGTCCAATTTTCTTCTCTTAACCGTGATGCCCATCTTTCCTTCAATTTCATTATCTACTACTTTTAAAGCATATTACAAATTGTAGTTTTGTTATGTTCTCACTATTCCCATATAAACTTTTTTGTCAGTTTATTGCACCAAACTGCAAAGTTCCATGCTGCTTAATATTCTTTAATTTAAATTATCCCATTTCTTACCTACTGAAATCCTGTTGTTTCAATTTTCCCTACTATATAAAAACTTCAAATTAAAAAAATTGCCTTCTCTTCCCACATACACACATTTTGGCTGTAAGTGTGTATATCCAAACACACACTTACACACACATATTTATCTATATTTATCTAATAGGTTAATAAATGTTAGACTATCTAATGGAACATAACACTACATTCAGCACACCACACATGTATTGTATATATAGTAAGCCCCCAGATACTGATTCAAATATTGGAGTGTGCTAATGCATACATAAACATATTTGAGGCTGGGCACCGTGGCTCACACCTGTAATCCTAGCACTTTGGGAGGCCGAGGCTGGTGTATCACGAGGTCAGGAAATCGAGACCATCCTGGCTAACACGGTGAAACCCCGTTTCTACTAAAAATACAAAAAATTAGCCAGGTGTGGTGGCGGGCACCTGTAGTCCCAGCTACTCGGGAGGCTGAGGCAGGAGAATGGCGTGAACCCGGGAGGCGGAGCTTCCAGTGAGCCCAGATCGCACCACTGCACTCCAGCCTGGGCACAGAACGAGACTCGGTCTCAAAAAAAAAAAAAAAAAAAAAAAAATTTTGAAATTCGATGTGAACATGTTTTGGTTCAGTTAGGATTGACCCCACTTACAACTCTAGGAATGGGCTGTGATACATTTTTTCATCCTAGTCAGTGATTCAAATGTTTATACTTACAGTAGTTAGTTAGGGATCATTACAAAGATTTGTTTAGCACAGTAAAGAGTACATTTTACAATTTAATGTTAATTTAAATTTAAAGTTAAGTTTCTGCCATTTATGAGAAGAAAACTGCAGTCTTATCTGCTAGAAGGTATTGTAGGAAGATGTGAAGTCCCAAGTCATTAGTCATTGTCAGGATCATGATAACAATTGAGAATCATATTTTATTCTTCTATGGAACTTACATTATGTCAGACATTGAGAACTTTGTATTTGTTACTAACTAAATTTTTATAATTATGTGAGGTAGATGCTAGTATTCCACTCCCTTTTGGATAAGGATCCTGGGGCCCAGATAAGGAAACTAAGGCAGTTATAAGAAAGTCAAGGCTGCATAGTGACTCAAATGTAGTAGTTGATTCTAGTCTCAATTACTAAGTGTACTCAATATGGGATGTGTCATCATATGGACTTGTAGTCCTAATGTAAGGATCAGAGGAAAACATAGAGAAGGATTCCTGTAAGACATTAATTTATTGCCTCAAATCTTCCCTGAACCTCCAACCAGTTAAGGCACAAGAACCAGCAGACATCTTATTGTTTATGATTTTTATTTTATTCTGTGTCCTGTTACCTTTACCTGTTCTATTCTGTTTGTTTATGTGTTTGGCAGGTGGAACTCATTATCTTAATATTATCACAGTGTATTCTTCAAGAGAATAGAATATATCTACTATGATCATCAAAAGTTAGGACCTTGGAGGCTCATTGGAAAATAAAAGCATAACCCACAACTGTACCTTCAACAAATGCAATTTTTACGCTTCATGATGATTGTCATTTTTGTGTTTTGATTCAAAGAAGTAGCTGATTGCTCATGATTTTCAAACTCACAACATGATAAATCTTATTTCTATTTTCTTTATATCACCTATTCATAGAGTATTGATAATATAATTAGTACACAGATATTGCAAGGTAAATCATTTAAATACTATTTGCTTTACAACATCATTAGTGATTCAACACCACACAGTATATTTTTCTTACTTAAACACATCAATCCCAGAGGGTTGGATGGCTTGAAAGACTGTTATTGGCAGCTGATTTATCTATCTGCTGTTTGGTTTGTTGGCTTAGGCATTTATTACCTTTAGGTCACTGAGCCTGATCAAATTGTGGTGGGAAGTTGTTATTATAAGATGGGAGTCTCCTTATTTGCATGAGTGACCTGGTTATACTAATAGTGTTCTTTCAAATAAGATATGAACATTAATATTGTGAATGTAGATAGTCGCACTGAGACACTATTTTAGGGTAGTCCATTAAATTAAATTTTCACATCTTTTTCAAGCACACCACCTTTCCCAGGCTGATGAGGGTATTTTAACTGTAGATTAAAATGCTTTCTTGCATATCTGGAGTAGGTCTAAGAAAAAATCATAAAAATATGAGTAATGTCCTTTTTTTAACCACTGCTTTCCAAGCCATTTTCTGCCCTTGTGATAACCTGAGTAATTCCACTACAATTTATTATGATTAAAATAGAATCATTATGTACAATTTTACTCTTTAGTGCACTCTTTTCTGTTACACAGCTTTCTAAATTTGTACAGATGTGTTCTTTTCAAATTATCTTACTAAAGTCACTTAAATACAGTGATACATATTTGGGGCTGTTAATGTTCTGGACAGACATGAAGCATCTAGCTACCTATATATTTAGTTATATTCATTATATTCAGTAAGATATGAGTTCCAGTGCTTGTCATGTAGTGGAAGGTCAGACATATAGCTTTTTATATAATAGAAGTCAATAAATATTTGTTAAAACAATTTCTTATATTGGGCATACATTTGAATGTCATTATTATGAAGTCTATATAATATACTATTATAAATTTTCCTAAACTTTTACTATTTTAAAAACAATAATATATTGAGATAGTTTTAAGTTTTTGCATGTGCTAATTGTACTACTTGACAATTATCCTTTTATGTGACAAGCATCGATCCCTTTTACTTCAGAGTTAAAGAAGCTTCTATTTGGATTAAACTGATAAAGAGATAATTATTTTGTTTTCATTACAGTTTTGTGGTAGGGTGATAAAGCATGGCTTTTTCCCTACATTCTAAAATAATATCACAGACATGGTCGTCTTCCTCTTTGCTTAAAAGAAGCTTTAATATCTATTGTTCCAGATACGAATGCTTCATAATGCACTCATTCAAAGTTTAGTGACATAAATACATGTTCCTTTTATCTCCCAATTAAGTGGGTGAAGAATTCAAGTTGTGCTTACTTGGACAATTCAATTGCTCACTTGGGATTAACTGGGGTGATTTGGAGAAGTTCAGCTAATAATTTTTCTGGTCTGGAATGTCCAAGATGACTTTACACAAATGTGTGGGATCTTGGAGGAGAGAGCTAGCAGGCAGGGCTATCCTTTCCCTGTAATCTTAGTGCCTTTCCATGAAATCTCCAGCAATATAGTCAAACTTATATTTTAGCTCAAGGCTCCACTTAGACCAAGGAAGAAACTATAGGTCCCTTTGAATTCTAAGCCCAAAACTTGTATGGCATCATTTCTTCCACACTGTATTTGTCAAAGCAGTCAGAGACCAATCCAGACTTAAGGGGAGAGGACATAAAACTCACTTTTTGATGCTATTTGTAGTCATCTGTAAGTTACCAGAGTTATAATAACTAAATCTAACATTTTTGTTTTATACTAAGAAAAAAGAATATAAACATTACCTGGAAATGAGACATGTGATATGAACTTCTCAATTTTTAAACTTTGGTCTCATGCAGAGTACAGAAATAGATTGTGTTAAAGAAAGAAGCTCTAGATTTCACCTTTGTGATGGTTACTACTGAGTATTAACTGGATTGGATTGAAGGATGCAAAGTATTGATCCTGGGTGTGTCTGTGAGGGTGTTGCCAAAGGAGATTAACATTTGAGTCAGTGGACTGGTAAGGGAAGACCCACCCTTAATCTGGCTGGGCACCATCTAATCAGCTGCCAGTGTGGCCAGAGTATAAAGCAGGCAGGAAAATGTGAAAAGGCTAGACTGGCTTACCCTCCCAGCCTACATCTTTCTCCCATGCTGGATGCTTCCTGCCCTCGAACATCGGACTCTAAGTTCTTCAGCTTTGGAACTCAGACTGGTTTCCTTGCTCCTCAGCTTGCAGGTGGACTATTGTGGGACCTCGTGATCGTGTGAGTTAACACTACTTAATAAACTTTCCTTTATTTACTTATATATATGTGTTATTAAAATCACTTAAATAATATATATGAAAATATATATACCCTGTTACTTATTTTATATATATATATCCTGTTAGTTCTATTCCTCTACAGAATCCTAATACAAATTTTGGTACCAGGAGTGGTTCTAGAGGAACGGAATATTAAGGATGGAGTTCTTTTTTTGTTTTGGGTGTTTCTGGAGTTGGCTGCTTAATATGACTAGACCCAAAAATGCTAAGGACTGTACTTCTAATAGTATGGAGAACACTGATGGCCCTTGGTGTGACCTGTGTGGAGAGTTATGCAAAATAAATGCATTTGACATTCATGATTCACCGCTCATGAGAGGCAAGAAATTTAGTGACTCTATACATAATACCTTTGACTGTATGTGGAGAACCAAGGAACATATGAAGCTTGTTGGTTGCTCCTAAGTTCATTGGACAAAGTGACAAAAGAAAATGATGAACTCAGGGATTCTAACTCCTGCCTTCAGAAGCAGATACTGAGCCTCAAATCTGCTAAGATTGCCCCGAGTGAGAGTCTTATCTCCTGTAGAGAAAGAGCTGAAGAGCTGAAATTGTAGAAAAGCAGACACAAGCTCTTATCGTGTGAGTGGCTGATCTGCAATGAAAGATGCATGCACAGCTTCACTAGGTGCCTACTGTTAAAGTGAGGGCATTGATTGGAAAAGAATGGGATCCTGCAACTTGGAATGGGGAAATGTGGGTGTATTCTGATGAAGCTGGGGACACTGAGCTTGTAAACTCTGATGAACCTTTTTTGCCAGAAGAAACAGCTTCCCTATCTCCAGTAGTGGCAACATCCCCTCCCCAACCCATGCTGCCATCAGCCTTTCTACCTTTGTCTGAGGAGATAAACCCCGCACTGCCTGAGGTAACAGTAATGGCCTCCCCTGAGGCAGTTGCCTGGCAAAATAATGTTGATTCTCCTCAGGAGCCACCCCCAACACCTCTGTTTGCTTCTAGACCTATATCTAGACTAAAGTCCTGGTGGACCCCTAGAGGTGAGATTGAAAGTGTGACCCATGAGGAGGTGTGCTACACTCAAAAAGAACTGTTTGAGTTTTCTAATTTACATAAACAGAAATCTGGAGAGCAGGCATGAGAATGGATATTAAGGGTATGGGATAATGGTGGAAGGAACATAGACTTGGATCAGGCTGAATTTATTTATTTGGGCCCACTAAATAGGGACTCTGCTTTTAATGTTGCATCTTGGAGAATTAAAAAAGGTTCTAATAGTTTATTGGTTGGGTTAGCTGAAATATGGATTAAAGGATGGCCCACTGTGAGCAAGCTGGAAACACCTGATCTCTCTTGGTTTAATATAAAGGAAGGGATCCAAAGGCTTAGGGATATTGGGATAGTGGAGTGGATTAGTCACTTTAGACCTACTCATCCCAGCTGGTAGAGTCCCTTGACCAATGCCTTGTGAAACAGATTTGTGAGGGCAGCACCTGCATCTTTGAAGAGCCCTGTAATTGCTCTTCTCTGTATGTCAGATCTAATAGTGGGAACCTCAGTCACTCAACTACAAAATTTAAATTCAATGGGAATAATTGGGGAATAATTGGATCCCAAGGTGGCAGGGGCAAAGTAGTGGCACTCAATCATCCAAGGCAAAGTTAGTGTTGCTACTGTAATGAACAGCAGAGCCAAAGCGGCAATCAGAATAGTCTTACTCTTATAGAGCTTTGGCATCGGCTGATTAATCACAGTCTTCCTAGAAGTGAAATTGATACAAAGCCTACTGCATTTCTACTTAATTTACATGAGCAGAAAACTTCCAGGTCGAATAGACAAAAGACTAATTTGAATTATTAAAAAAGAGAATTATGGCTCCTCAATCAATTTCCAGACTTGAGCCCGTTTACACACCCAGAGCCCCTTTAATGCAGGGAAGGCCGAGTCCCATTGAGGAAGGACCCCACTATGCTATCCATAATTTATATGCTGTTAATCTTTCTCCCAACCTTCTCCAGGGAGACCTCTGGCCTTTTGACAGGGTAACTGTGCACTGGGAAAAGGGAAATGATCAGAGATTTCAGGGACTACTAGACACTGGCTCTGAGCTGTTGATTCCAGGGTACTCAAAATGTCATTGTGGCCCTCCAGTTAAAGTAGGAACTTATGGAGGTCAGGTAATTAATGGACTTTTAGCTCAGGTTCAATTCACAGTGAGTCCAATGGTTCCCTAGACACTCCCTGTGGTCATTTCCCCAGTGCCAGCATACATAATTGGCATAGATCTAATTAGCAGTTGGCAGAACCCCCACATTGTCTCCCTGACTGGCAAGGTGAAGGCTATTATTGTTGGAAAGGCCAAATGGAAGCCATGGGAGCTGATTCTACCTAGAAAAATAGTAAATCAATAATAATATCCCATCCCTGGATAGATTGTGGAGATTACTTTCACCGTTAAGAACTTGAAAGATGCAGAGGTGGTGATTCCCACCACATCTCCATTCAATTCTAGTATCTGGCCTGTGCAGAAGACAGATGGATCAGAGAACAATAGTGGATTATTGTAAGCTTAACCAAGTGGTGATTCCAATTGCAGCTGCTGTACCAGATGTGGTTTCATCACTTGAGCAAATTAACACATTTCCTGGTAACTGGTATGCAGCCATTGACTGGGAAATGCCTTTTTCTCCATTCCTGTCCATAAAGCCCACCAGAAACAATTTGCCTTCAGCTGACAAGGCCAGCAATATACCTTTACTGTCCTACCTCAGGGATATATCAACTCTCCAGCTTTGTGTCATAATCTCATTCCGAGATATTTGATTGCTTTTCGCTTCCACAAGACATCACACTGGTCCATTACATTGATGGCATAATGCTGATTGGATCCAGTGAGCAAGAAGCAGAAAACAAACTGGGCTTAATGGTGAGATATTTGCTTGACAGAGGATGGGAAATAAATCCGACTAAAATTCAGGAACCCTCTATCTCAGTAAAATTTCTAGAGGTCCAGTGGTGTGGGGCCTGTCGAGGTATTCCATCTAAGGTGAAAGATAAGTTGCTGCATTTGGCCCCTCCTACAACCAAGAAAGAGTTACAACGTCTAGTGGGCCTATTTGGATTTTGGAGGCAACACATTCCTCATTTGGGTGTGTTACTCTGGCCTATTTATCAAGTGAACCAAAATGCTGCCAGTTTTGAGAGGGGTCCGGAACAGGAGAAGGCTCTGTAACAGGCCCAGGCTGCTGTGCAAGTTTTTCTGACACTTGGGCCATATGACCCAGCAGATCCAATGGTGCTGGAGGTATCAGTGACAGATACAGATGCTGTTTGAAGCCTTTGGCAGGTCGTGATACGTGAGTCTCAGTGGAGGCCTCTAGGATTATGAAGCAAGGCCCTGCCATCTTCTGCAGACATCTACTCTCCTTTTGAGAGACATTTCTTGGCCTGTTACTGGGCTTTGGTGGAAACTGAACATTTGACCATGGGTCATCAAATCACCATGTGACCTGAACTGCCTATCATGAACTGGGTGCTTTCTGACCCATCTAGCCATAAAGTTGGGCATGCCCAGCAGCATTCCATCATCAAATGGAAGTGGTATATATGTGATCAGGCTCGAGTAGGTCCTGAAAGCACAAGTAAGTTACATAAGGAAGTGGCTAAAATAACTATGGCCTCTTGGCTGCCACCCTGCTTCTCTCTCCCAGTCTGCACTGATGTTACATGAGGAAGTAACTCAAATGCCCATGGTCTCCACTCCTGCCATTCTGCCTTCTTTCCCAGCCTGCACCAGTGGCCTCATGGGGAGGTTCCTATGATCAGTTGAGAGAGAAAAAGAAAACAAGGGCCTGGTTCACAGATGGTTCTGCATGATAGGCAGGCAGCATCCCAAAGTGGACAGATGCAGCACCACAGCCCCTTCCTAGGACATCCCTGAAGGACAGTAGTTAAGGGAAATCTTCCCATTGGGCAGAACTTCGAGCAGTGCACCTGGTTGTGCACTTTGCATGGAAGGACAAATGGCCAGATGTGTGATTATATACTGATTCATTGGCTGTAGCCAATGGTTTGGCTGGATGGTCAGGAACTTGGAAGAAGCATGATTGGAAAATTGGTGACAAATAAATTTGGGGATGAGTTATGTGGATGGACCTCTCTGAGTGGTCTAAAACTGTGAAGATATTTGTATCCTATGTGAGTGCTTACCAATAGGTGACCTCAGCAGAGGAGGATTTTAATAATCAAGTGGATAGGACGACCTGTTCTGTGGACACCACTCAGCCTCTTTTTCCATCCACCCCTGTCATCACCCAATGGGCCCATGAACAAAGTGGCCACGGTGGCAGGGATGGAGGTTACACATAGGCTCAGCAACATGGACTTCCACTCACCAAGGATGTCCTCAGCACATCTCTATATTATGGATGTTTTGACTCTTTGGCAACTGTAATTTTGTAGTTCAGATTCTCATAGATAGATTAATTTAATTTTCTTAAGTCTATCTGCTGTTTAATAAAAGATTGGTTTTAATTAAAATAATACAGAAACCTACACATCATCATCATCATCTTCCTCAACATCAATTGTGATATTTGATAAATGTAGCAAAAGCTAAAAGGAAATAAGCTGATATGAAAGTAGAAAGGGCACTGCAGCACACAGACACGTACAACAGGGAAAAATATTCAACATATTTATTGAAAGGCCTAGTAAAAACTGCAATTGCATCAAAGAGAAATCCCATTATTGAGATAAGTAGGCACTAGTGTCTCCTCAGTTGTGGAAAAAAAGAAGAAAAAACAGAGGAGACCCTCTATTTCAGGATATACCCAGAATTAACTTCAAGGAGCCTTTATGAATTATCCCACGGGAATCTGATATGCAGACTTCAGTTGAATGGGAGACTCTTTTCTGAGGGCTGGAGCAGTTGTTTCAGGCATGGAGCATAGCGTTCATTCGAGCTGGGCAGTATTTGGCCTCAGAGAGATTTGGATCCACCACATCGCAGCTGTGAGTCAGACATGTGACCTATGCCTTAAAAGCATTTATTTACTATGCAGATAATTACAAGTGTGTGACATAGGTAAAATAACTCTTGTTAAAATGTCTAGCAAGAGACATGGCACATATTAATTGCTTGATTAAGGTCTGTTGTTGCTGTTGCTGCTATTACTTGGGTTGCCCTCAAATTGCCAGGTTTACTACTGCTGACCACGCTGAATGTTGAGAATTCAAAGGCAGTAGCCATGTTCTTTTGTAATTAAAAACAAATCTGTACTGTCACCATGTGTAAACTCAATATACTTTCATCTGCCCAAAAGAGAGATCCACATCTAGAAACACAGGTTTAGAAAATATTAGTCAGTTTTTAATTTTTTCTTTTTTTCCCTCGTGGTGGTAGGCTAAATGGAAGGTAACTATTGAGGCTAAGAAAAGTAAGAACAGCCAAAGGAAAGGCAATGGAAAGGGTCTAGTGAAAAAGAGCATAAGGAAAAAATTTCAAGAGTTTGATCCTTGATGTAAAAAGCAACTGTATGTTTCATGGTTACATTTCAGGCATATACAGAGGAGTTATGTTAAGCAGTGCTTTCCCAGACCAAATAAATAATGTCCAGTCTGTCTACTCATTATTATGGTTCTAGTTATTGTTATTGTAAAAGCGGGAACTTCCTCAAAGGAAACATCACTGGTGTCAAAAATAATTTCATTACATTGGTGAAAAAGTCTCACACTGTTGCCAGGGCTGGAGTTCAGTGGTGTGATCTCGGCTCACTGCAACCTCTGCCACCCAGGTTCAAGTGATTCTCCTGCCTCAGCCTCTCGAGTAGCTGGCATTACAGGTGCATGCCACCATGCCTGGCTAATTTTTTGTATTTTTAGTAGAGATGGGTTTCACTATGTTGGCCAGGCTGGTCTCGAACTCCTGACTTTGTGATCCACCCGCCTCGGCCTCCCAAAGTGTTGGGATTACAGGCGTGAGCCAGGACTTTTTTAAAAAATCAGGATAGAGCATTGAATAAAAACATTTAACATTTTGTAGAAATTACCTTCTGTATATTTTCTCATCAAATGTTGGGATCTTCTTTCTACTTTAGCAAGTAAAAATCCACTGCAATAAAAATAGCATGGGATTAAAATATGTGAGCAAAGTAAAACTGCTAGTATATTTGCTCTTATAAAAGAATCAGATTAAAGAGGAAGTTTGATACAAGTCAAAGTCCACAAGTGCTTAATATGCTTTGCACGTGAATTTAGTTGGTTCACCATTAATCATGTTTAGTTGCACCTGATTATTTTGGAGATTTTAATGTATCAGTTTTATTAGAGTGACTTCTCAGGATGTTTATAACAATGATTACAGCTCTGTTAATTATTCCACCTATTTTGGGATTGTTTCAAAGTCAATCTAATTTTTTTAAATCTAAGGTTATAATGGGTAAAGACTAGATGACTTGTTTAGACAGTTTCCATTGTGTTAAGAAAACTTAAATATGATTTGGCTATTTTAATGTTTATAATATATAGTTCATTGCTACTTATGATTTTCTAAAAAGAAATATTTTTATATGATAATGTTTTCTATAACTTCCGCTTTATTTGAACATGAAAAACAATTCTTTTTTTTTTTTTGAGATGGAGTCTCGCTGTCGCCCAGGCCGGAGTGCAGTGGCGCCATCTCGGCTCACTGCAAGCTCCGCCTCCCGGGTTCACGCCATTCTCCTGCCTCAGCCTCCCGCATAGCTGGGACTACAGGCGCCAGACACCTCGCCCGGCTAATTTTTTGTATTTTTAGTAGAAACGGGGTTTCACCGTGTTAGCCAGGATGGTCTCGATCTCCTGACCTCATGATCCGCCCGCCTCGGCCTCCCAAAGTGCTGGGATTACAGGCGTGAGCCACCGCGCCCGGCCGAAAAATAATGCTTTATTAATACAATTGTCCTCCTTCATCCTTCCAAAGAGTGAGCCTCCTTAATAGAACCAAGGGCATGAGTAATAAAACCCATTTCAAACCTCCAGACTAATAAAGGTGCAAATTGTAACATGCTGGGTTCTTGTATACAAAGTAATTTATGCAAAAATAGTAATTTCCAGATGTTTATATGAGTGAGAAATTAAAAGTCAAATGTATGGGTACAGTGAAAACTATCTCTCAAAACCTCAATAAACTTCCAAATACTCTATCTTGTTGCTAACCATCAAATTTAAACTATGATCGTTATAACAAAATATTTATGTTCATAGACATTCAAAGATCACATTTATGGACTGACCAGGGTGCATTAAAAATAATTGAATCAGGCAGCAGACAAGAATTGATTCCGAAGTTTGGCCCAGAATAACATCATTGCAGTAGTATGGTCAGTGGAAAGTCATCACAGCTCAGGAATCAACTGTGCTATTATAGATTGAAAAGAAGCCAAAAGTCTGGGTCAATTTTTTTTTATAATTAATTTTTCACTTGGTGAGTACATAGTAGGTGTATATATTTATGGGGTACATGAGATATTTTGACACAGGCAAACTGTGTGATAATCAAATCAGGGTAAATGGGATATTCATCACTTCAAGCATGTATCCTTTCTTTGTGTTATGAAAAATCAAATTATATACTTTTTGTTATTTCTAAATATAGAATAAATTATTTTTGACTGTAGTCACCCTGTTATAGTCAAATACTAGATCTTATTTATTCTATTTAACTATTTTTGTACCCAATAACTATCCCGTCTCTCCCTGCAACTACCCTTCCCAGCCTGTGGTAACCATTATTCTACTCTCTATCTCTATGAGTTCAATTATTTTAATTTTAGCTTCCAAAATCAGCTATCTTCCTTTGCCTGGCTTATATTGCTTAACATAATGACTTCCAATTCCATCCTTGTTGTTGCAAATGCGGGGTCTCATTCTTTATAGCTGAATACTGCTCCATCGTGTATATGTACCACATTTTCTTTATCCATTCATCTGTTGATGACAATTAGGCTGGTTCCAAATTTTGACTGTTGTGAATAGCGCTGCAATAAACATGGGAGTAAGGATATCTTCTCAATGTATTGATTTGCTTTCTTTTGGGTATATACCTAGTAGTTGGATTGCTGGATCTTATGTTGGTTCCACTCTTTGTTTTTTTGAGGAAACTCCCAACTGTTTTCTATAATGGTTGTGCTAATTTACATTCCCAGCAACAGTGTACCAACGTTGTCTTTTCTCCACATCCTCACCAGCATTTGTTACTGTCTGTCTTTTGTATAAAAGCCATTTTAACTGGGGTGGGATGCTATCTCACTGTGGTTTTGGTTTGCATTTCTCTGATGATCAGTGATGTTAAGCACCTGATCACATACCTGTTTGCCATTTGTATGGCTCCTTTTAGAAATGTCTGTTCAGATCATTTGCCCATTACTAAATCAAATTGTTAGATTTATTTCCTGAGTTGTTTGGGCTCCTTATATATTCTGGTTATTAATCCCTTGTCAGATGAATAGTTTGAACATATTTTCTCCCATTCTGTTTGTCTTTTCTTTACTTTGTTGATTGTTTACTTTCCTGTACGGAAGCTTTTTAACTTGATGTGAACCTATTTGTTTATTTGTGCTTTGATTGCCTGTGCTGGTGGGGTATTACTCATGGAATTTTGCCCAGTCCAATGTCCTGGAAAATTTTACCCAATGTTTCCTTTTACTAGTTTTACATTTACAGGTATTAGATTTAAGGCTTTAATCCATTTTGATTTGATTTTTTTAACTGTGAGACATAAGGGTCTAGGTTCATTCTTCTGCATGTGGATATCCAGTGTTGCCAGTATCATTTATTGAAGAGACTGTCCTTTTCCCAATGTATGTTCTTGGCACCTTTGTTGAAAATTAGGTCACTGTAGATGTATGGATTTGTTTCTGGATTCTCTATTCTGTTGCCTTGGTCTATGCATCTGTTTTTATGCCAGGACCATGTTATTTTGGTTACTAAAGCTTTGTAATATAATTTAAAGTCAGGTAATATAATTCCTCCAGTTTAGTTATTTTTGCTAGGATAACTTTGGCTATTGTGGCTTTTTGTGGTTCCATATAAATTTTAGCATTGTTTTTTCTACTTCTGTGAAGACTGTCATTGGTATTTTGATAGATATTGCATTGAATCTCTAGATTGCTTTAGGTAGTAAGAACATTTTAATAATATTGATTCTTCTAATTGATGAATATGGAATATCTTTCCAGGTTTGTGTTACCACTTCAATTTCTTTCATTATTTTTAAAATAGTTTTCATTATAGAGATATTTTATTTCATTGGTGAAGCTTATTCCTATGAATTTATTTTATTTGTAGTATTATAATGGGATTACTTTCTGGATTTCTTTTTCAGATTGTTCACTGTTGGTATATAGAAATGCTACTAATTTTTGTATGTTGATTTTTGTATCCTGCAACTTTACTCTGTTTATTTATCAGTTCTAATAGGTTTTTTGATGGGGTCTTCAAGATTTTCAAAATAGAAGATCATATCGCCTGTAAACAAGAATAATTTGACTTCTTCCACTCCAATTTGAATGCCCTTTATTTCTTTCTTTTGTCTGATTGTTGTAGCCAGGACTTTCAGTACTATGTTGAATAACAGTGGTGAAAGTGAGCATCCTTGTCATCTTACAGATATTAGAGAAAAGGTTTTCAATTGTTCCCCATGCAGTATACTAGCTGTGAGTCTGTCATATATAACTTTTATTATGTTAAGGTATGTTCCTTCTGTATCCAGTTTTTTCCTGTTATTAATCCCTTGTCAGATGAATAGTTTGCACATATTTTCTCCCATTCTGTGTGTTTTCTCTTTACTTTGTTGATTGTTTACTTTCATTTATTTATCATGAATTTCATTTATCAGGACATTTATCATGAAAGGATGTGGGATTTCAAAAAATGCATTTTCAGCATCAATTTAAATGATTTTTTCCTTCATTCTGTTGATATGATGTATTATATTGATTGATTTGCATATGTTGAACCATCTTTGCATCCCTAGAGTAAATCCAACTTCATCATGACAAATGATCTTTTTAATGTGTTATTGATTTGGTTTGCTAGTATTTAGTAGAGGATTGTTGCATCAATGTTTATCATGGATATTTGCCTGCAGTTTCTTTCTTTCTTTCTTTCTTTCTTTCTTTCTTTCTTTCTTTCTTTCTTTCTTTCTTTCTTTCTTTCTCTTTCTTTCTTTCTTTCTTTTCTTTCTTTCTTTCTTTTTTCTTCTTTCTTTCTTCTTTCTTTCTTCTTTTTCTTCTTTCTTTTTTCTTTTTCTTCTTTCTTTCTTTCCTTCCTTCCTTCTTTTCTTCCTTCCTTCCTTCTTTCCTTTCTTCTTCCCTCTCCCCTCTCCTGCCTTCCCCTCCCCTCCCCTCCCCTCCCCTCTCCTCTCCTCTCCTCTCCTTTCCTTTCCTGTCTAGCTTTAGTATTGGTGTGATACTGGCCTCTTACAATAAATTTGGAAGTATTCTCTCCATCTCTATTTTTTGAAACAGTTTGAGTAGAATTGATATTCATTCTTCTTTAAATGTTTGGAAAAATTGAGTAGTGAAGACATCAAGTCCCAGGCTTTGCTTTGCTATAAGACATTTTATTATGGCTTTGATCTCATTACTTGTAATTGGTCTGCTTAGGTTTTGAATTTCTTCATGGTTCAATCTTGGTAGGTCATATTTGTCAAGGAATTTATCCATTTATTCTAAGTTTTCCAATTCATTGGCATGTAGAGGCTCAGTAGTCTAGTGATCCTTTGGATTTCTGTGGTATTGGTTGCAATGTCTTCTTTTTCATTTCTGAATTTACTTATTTGAGTCTTCTTTGTTCTTACTTAAAGTAAGGTTCATCAATTTTGTTTGTCTTTTCAAAATCTACTTTTGGTTTCACTTATCTTTTCTATTTTTTTGTTTCAATTTTATTTATTTCTGCTCTGATCTTTATTATTCTTTTATTCTACTAGTTTGAGGTTTTATTTGCTTTTGCTTTTCTAGTTAAGATGTATCATTATGTTGTTTAGTTGAAGTTTTTCTACTTTTTAAATATAGGAACTTACAGCTATAAATCTTCTCTTAGTACTTCTTTTACTACATCTCATAAGTTTGCTAAGTTTGTTACCATTTTTACTTGTTTCAAGAAATTTTTAATTTCCTTCTTAATTTCTTTGTCGACCCACTGGTCATTCAGGAGCATATTGTTTAATTTTCATGTGCTTGTATAGTTGCCAAAATCCATCTTGTTATTGGTTTCTAGTTTTAATCCACAATGTTTAGAGACGATACTTGACATAATTTCAGTTTTTTGAACTGATTTGTGGCCTAACATATGGTCTAACCTTGAGAATAATTTATGTGCTGAGGAAAATAACTTTTATTCCACAGCTGATGGGTGAAATGTTCTGTAAATGTGTATTATGTTCATTTGGTCCGTAGTGCAGATAAAGTCTGATGTTTCTTTGTTCTTTTCCTGTCTGGATGATCTGTCTAATGATGAAAGTGAAGTGTTAAATCCTCCAGCTATTATTGTATTGGATTCTATCTCTCTCTTTAGCACTAATAATATTTGCTTTATATATTTGGTTGCTCCAGTGCTGAGTGCATATATGTTTACTATTATTATAACTACTTGCTGAATTAACAACTTTATCATTATATAATAACCTTCTTTGTCTCTTTTTATGATTTTTGTGTTAAAATATATTTTGCCTGATATAAGTATAGCTACTCTTCCTCTTTTTTGATTTCCATTTGCATAAGAATATCTTTTTTCTATCCCTATATTTTGCATATTTTTGTGTCTTTATAGGTGAAGTGTGTTTCTTATGGTTATCAGATTTTTAGATCTTATTTTTTTTCTTTTTATCCATTCAGCCACTCCATCTCTTTTGATAGGAGGGTGCAGTCCATTTACATTCAAGGTTATTATTGATAACTAAGGACTTACTGCTATCATTTTGCTATCTGTTTTCCAACTGTTTTGGTCTTCTCTTCCTTCTTTCCTTCCTTTATGACTTCCTTTTAATTAAGATAACTTTATCTGGTGGCATGTTTTAATTTCTTGCTTTTTATTTTTTTGTGTATTTGATACATGTTTTATGACTTGAGGTTACCATGTAGCATGCAAATAATATTTTATAACCAATTATTTTCAACGGATGACAACTTAAACTGGTTTCATAAACTAACAAACTAATAAATAAAGATAAAATGAGTACAATCTCTACATTTGAATTTTATCCTCCTGCTTTTTAACTTTTTGTTGTTTCCGTTTATATCTTATTGTACTGTCTATATATTGAAAAGTTGCTGAAGTTATTATTTTGATCAACTTATCTTTTCCTCTTCTCAAGATATGAATAATTTACAAACCAATTGTACAAATACAATTACAATATTATAATATTTTGTGTTCTTCTGTGTACTTACTATTATTGCATGAGTTTTGCACCTCTAAATATTTTGTTGCTCATTAACATCCTTTTCTTTCAGATCAAGGAACTCCTTTTAGCATCTCTTGTAAGACAAGTCTAGTGTTGATAAAATCCCTCAGCTTTTGTTTTTCTGAAAGAATCTTTATTTCTCCATATTTAAAGGATATTTTTACTAGGCATACTGTTCTAGAAGAAAAGTTTGTTTGCTTTATTTTAGCACTTTGAATATACCACTTCCTCTTGACATGTAATGTTTCCATTGAGAAGTCTGCTGCCAGATCTCTTGGAGCTCCATTATATGTTATTTGTTTCTTTTTTCATGCTACTTTTGGAATCATTTCTTTATCCTTGACTTTAGGAGTTTGATTATTAAATGTCTTGAGGTACACTTGCTTGAGTTAAATCTGCTTGGTATTCTGTAACCTTCTTTTATTAATGCTTGAGTATTGATATCTTTCTCTATGTTTGGGAAGTTTTCTGTTATTATCCCTTTGAATAAACTTTCTACCTCAATCTTTCTCTCTCTATCTCCTCTCTAAGGCCAGTAACGCTTAGAATTGCCCCTTTCAGGCTGTTTTTTAGTTATTGTAGGCATGCTTCATTCATTTTTATTCTTTTTTAAAATGTCCTCTGACTGTGTATTTTCAAAGAGCCTGTCTTTAAGCTCACTAATACTTTCTTTTGCTTGATCAATTCTGCTGGTAAGAGACTCCGATGCATCCTTTAGTATGCAAATGCATTTTTCAACTCCAGAGTTTCTGCTTAGTTCTTTTCATTTATTTCAATTTTTTGTTAAATTTATTCAATAGAATTCTGAATTCCTTTTCTGTGTTATCTTTAATTCCACTGAGCTTCCTCAACACAGCTATTTTGAATTCTCTGTCTGGAAGTGCACGTATCTCTGTTCTGTGCCTTATTTAGTTCATGATGAGGTCATGTTTCCTAAATGGTTTTGATGGCTGTGGATGTTTATTAGGCACTGAGGTGTGAGGTATTTTTTTCTTCACAGTTTGAGTTTGTTTGTGCTGATTCTTCTTGGGAAGGCTTTCTGAGTATTCTAAGGAACTTTGGTTTTGTAATCTACATATTTCATCACTGTAGTTGTATCTGCATTAGGAGGCACCCCAACTTCAGTAATCCGTGGCTTTACAGACTTGTAGAGGTGGTCTTGGTGGTCTTGGATAAGATGTGGAGGAATTCTCTAGATTACCAGGCAGAGACTGCTTTTCCCTTCCATTACTTTTTTTTTTTTTTTTTTTTTGAGACGGAGTCTCACTCTGTCACCCAGGCTGGAGTGCAGTGGCACAATCTCGGCTCACTGCAAGCTCTGCCTCCCAGGTTCACGCCATTCTCCTGCCTCAGCCTCCCGAGTAGCTGGGACTACAGGCACCTGCCACCACACCCAGCTAATTTTTTTGCATTTTTAGTACAGACAGGGTTTCACCATGTTAGCCAGGATGGTCTTGATCTCTCTTGACCTCGTGATCCATCTGCCTTGGCCTCGCAAAGTGCTGGGATTACAGGCGTGAGCCACCGCCCCCGGCCCCTTTCTTCCATTAGTTTTTCCCAAACAAATGAAGTATCTCTCTCTGTTCCAAGCTGCCTGGATCTGGGGGAGGGTTGACACAAGTACCCTTGTGGCCACTACCACTGGGACTGTGCTGAATCGGACCTGAAGCCAGCATGGTACTGGGTTTTACCCAAGGCCTGCTGTAACCACTGCCTGGCTGCCATCTATGTTCACTCAAGGAACTGACACTCTACAATCAGCAGGGGACAAAGCCAGCCAGTCTTGTGTCTTTCCCTTCAGGGTAGTGAGTTTGTCTGAACCCAGGCATGTCTAGAGATGCTGTCAGGAAGGCAAAGTCTTCAATGAGAAACCTTAAGAATCCCCCTGATGCTCTATTGTTCTGCAGCTGAGCTGGCACCCAAGCCACAAGACAACATCCTTTCCACTCTTTCCTCCCTTTTCCACAAGCAAAGGAGTCTTTCTTGATGGCCACCAAAGGCCCAGGCCTATGGCAAGTATTGACCAGCAACTGCTGATGCTCACTCAAAGCCCAACCATTCTTTTTTTAAGCTCGTGGTAAGTGCTGCCATGCCTAGGACCTCTCCCTTCAGGGCAATGGGCCTCCCAGTAGCCCAGGGCAGGTTCAGAAATGCCTTCCAAGAGCCAAGGCCTGCAACTGGGGACCCCAAGAACCTGCTTAGTGCTCTACCCCACTGTGGCCAAGCTGGTACCTAAGCTTCAAGGCAAAGTCCTCTTTATTCTTCTCTCTCCTTTTCTCAAGCAGAAGGAATCTCTCCCCATAGTCACCACAGCTAGGAATGTGCTAGATCACATCTGGAGCCAGCATGTCTCAGAGTGTCACCTAAAACCCATAGGAAGTACTGCCTGGGTATTTCTACTGATTATTCAGGTCCCAAGGGCTCTCTAGTCAGCAGGTGATGAATCCTGCCTTATTCTTCCTTTCAGAGAGTAGGTTTCCTCTGGCCCAGGGTGTGTCTAGAAATATCATCCAGGAGCTACGGCCCAGAATGTGGGCCTTGCAACTTTGTTTCATGCCCAGTCCTATTGTGGCTGAGCTGGTATCCATGTTGTAAGACAGAGTCTTTCTTACTCCCCCTTCTCGTCTCCTTAAACAGAGGGAAAGTGTCTCTCCCAGAGCTGTGAGCTGTGCTGCCTGGCACTGGGGAAGGGGTAGCACAAATACTCACTTGAACACCCTAGCTGGTGTCTCACTAGGTTGCTTGTCCCCCAAGTCCACTGGCTCCAAGCATCATGGCTTTCCCAGGAAGTGCAGTCCTTGTGACCTAGATTGCCTTTGAAGCTTATTTTAGATCACAGAGTTGTTTAGCCCACAGTAGCGAGGCTTGCCAGACCTCAAGTTCCAATTCCTGGGGTCAACAGATCCCTTCTGGCTAGGGCTGGTCTAAATGCTCCCTCTGTGGATGTCAACGGAGTTCTGCCTGGTGTTCCTTTCCACATTGATACAGCAGCACTGAGTTCCAATGCAAAGCACCACATTTGCTTTGTTCTCCTTCCACCAAGTGCACAGATTCTCTCTCTGCCTTATGGTGCCACTGCCAGGAGATTGGGGAGGGGTGGTGTTGACATTAAAGATGGTCTTTCCTACCCTCTTGGTGCCTCTTTCAGTAATATGAAGTTAAAACCAGGTACTGTGATTGTTCACCTGATTTTTTGTTCTTATGAAGGTGTTTTTTGTATAAATAGTTTTTCAATTTGGTATTCCTGTAGGAGAACTATTGGTGGAGGTTTCTATTTGGCTATATTGCTCCACCTCCCCATTTTCCTAATAATGTCAGTTATTAAGGAAAAAGAATGTTTTATAGAGTAAGAGCAAGGCATTCTCCGGGGGAGTTAAGATATACAGACAGAACTTGCAAGTAGCTTTTTAATATGCCACTTTCTGATTTATTCCTAAGGAGCTATTCTGTTGGGTAGTTCACCTCAAACTTAATGGTTCACTATGTCCTTCAGCTAAACAGTTTCATCCCTTGAGGGCTTAAAAGTTATTGTTACCTTTTTTTTCCACAAAATTAAAACACTCAGACATATAGAAATTAAATTCAACAAAAAACAAATTATTGTTATAGATCTTATATCAGAATCATGGGTTTTGGTTTGATTTTTGTTTTACTACATAGTATTGGTCTCTGACTTCCTTCTGTATTGATGGAATCTTTGTTTTCTAAAGCTTATATCCCTATTATAAATGGTGAGAATAAAGCAAATTATAGAAATATGCTTTCCTCAGTTTCTCAACAAACTATGAGATAGACATGCAAGGCTATGTCTATGTAGGATGGTTTTCAAGAACTGGAAAATTATCCCAGTATTCCATTATATTTTTAATTTATTCCTAATATATTCTCAACTCCATCATAGATGAGTCTTTAGGTTCCTTCCAATGAATCTTATTTAGAAAACAACGTTTGGTGTCTCTATGTAGGTAAAGGTTTGGGATGCTTCTGCTGAGTGAGAATATTGATGAGATCTACTCTAAGAAAATTTAATATATGAAAATGAAGTTTTACAAACCAGCAAATTAAGCAATGTTTATTCAAAACTCAATGACTCGCCATAGATTGACAAATTATCGCTACCTGAATTGTAAACCTGATGTTATATATGTGTGAGAACACCTAATAATTTTAAGTATTTAATTATGACAAATTACAGAACTATAGCACTTTATCTATTTTTAAATTAGAGTTTGTTTGTATACATATAAATATTTCCAGCTAATAGAAGATATAAATGAAGTATTCTCTATTCTAGTTTTAATATTTAGCTGTTAATTCTCTAATTTTAATCTGTATTGATTACTGTATAGCTTTCAAAAACTCTCCTTTTTACTGTGGACATTTGCCTATATGCATATGATCTCCATTATAATGCAATATTCATTCCAGCTCAAAATTCACAAACCTGAGAACAAATGCTAAGCCTGTACTCCTGTACTTGGTAGTCTTTGTATGCAATGTATTGTAAAGCTCTCTATATGCAATGCTGTATGTTTTCTTTTGAACAATTTTTTATTAAAGATTTTACCATTGCTAAGTCTATGAAAAATAACAATTGTTATTTATTTTCATTTTGGTAAGTGAAAAGAGGGGGCACAAAGCCTTCAAGTGACTCATTTTCTACTCTAAAATCTTTAGAAAGCTCCCTCCAGAGTTTTTACATACAAGTGTTTGTGTTCACTGAGATGATTTATGTACTCAACTCATTAAAGTATTTTAAAAGGATCCTCAGCAAGGTTAGCATTAAAAAAGAAATTAATTCAGTGCTGAGAATATAAATAGAATACTGTAATCATACCAAATAATAGAAATCAGCTCTTTCTTATCCAACATAAACTTCTTTCAAGGAAAAAAAATCAACCAGCTTCCATAATTACATTTTTATTGTGTTTTTCATTTACACCATATTTCTCTGTTAGGTAAGCTTGTCATTGCAGGCAGCTCTACCTTATGTATTGAAATTAAAATCAAATAGACTCAAGGTTCTATGATTTTTTTTTGTTCTGTAACTAAACAAAAAAATATTTAAAATCTGTTTCTTAAGAAAAAATAAAATTATTTGATAGTCTAGGAATATTGCCATACTTCAAATAATGAGTAAAATTTTTAAAAAGTGTTTATATGCCAGACATGGTACAGGATGTTTTATAATAATTATCAAATTTAATTTTCAAAACAATTCTGTGATGTATACATATTTTAAGTATCTTAATTTTGCTACAATCAAAAATTCTAACATAAAGAGATTTATAGCAAAAGGTTCACCATTAGCTCTCAAATGTAGACTTCTGAGAAGAAAATGTAGCTGCAGTTTGAAGCAGTAAATTCATCTTTCTTCTCTAAATGCCATATTGCCAATCTCATGATAAAACAGTTCTTCTCTACTCAATAACTTTTGATAACAACTCCTAGTGCTGCATACTTTGTTTGTGTACAGAGAAAGAAATTTTTTCCAACATTCCAATTGTTTTTACATTTATTCTATTTGAATTGGTTTGATGGGGTCCCAACCCTAACACCATCATTTTACCCAAAAGAATGGAATATGATAATTGGTTAAGTCAATAAGGGCTTAGATTAGGCGGTTTGAAGAATGGGATGTTACCTAAACAAAATTCAGGTACTATTAGTTGAGGAGAATTATAAAATAGCTGATAGATTAGTAGATAAGAAATGCCCACTAGAATATTATAATCTACATTTAATAAATGAAAAAAGTCAGGTTCAAAAAATTAATTTACTTAACAATTATTGCCCAGAATGAAGCTACCTCCACTTTGATGTTTTGCGTAACCTCAAGCCCATAACCCCCAATCCCATGAAAAAAGACTGGATTTAAACACTGCTGTGAATAGTACATGCCATATCATTGTATAGGTACTTGGTTTGTCCATTATAACATACCAGATTTGTTAACTGACTTTATATGAAATATGTATCTATCTTTAAAAAAATCAATGGAATTATTTTAATTTTGGATTTTCTAATGAAAACAAAAATAATTTGACAAGTAAAAAAATATGCATCTATGGTATGCAATGGATTACATCCAGATTATTAAACTGTTAACCTAAAGATAGGCATATATAAAGTAATGCGGTAGCTGGTTTCCAATGACAGTGTCTAAAAATTTTTCTCTTACCTTTATGTTCATACTACATGTCAAGAGGTAGAACATATCTACCCTCCCCTTGATTGTGGGCTGTCCTCGGATGTAACCAATAAGATGAGGCAAAAGTGACATTCTAGAACCCCAGGCTTTAAGATAACAGACAGCATCCACTTTCTGTTCTTTAATGAGTAGTCATAATATGAGAAGCCCAAGCCACATGGGGAGACCACATGGAGAACTAACTTGCCTCTGTCAATCCCATATGATCTCCCTGCCAAGTGCCAGCATCAAATGCCAACCATGTGAGTGAGCCAAGTCGGACATTCCAGGCCAATTTTAGATTGGCCCAATAGCCTGACATTTACAGCCATTCAACAATGGCCCAGCAAGTATCACGTAGAGAGAAAAAAACTGAGCCCAATCATTTCATGGAAAAATAAGAGATAATCAGATAGCTGTTTTAGGTGTTTAAATTTTGATATGGCTTATAATGCAGCAATATAAAAGAAAAAAGGTCAATATCTGTAAAGGTTTCTTAAGTTACAATCCCTGCTCATTAGTCCATCAGTAAAGCCCTCAGGTAAAATTCACATCTTTGTGTCTGGACCCCATTCTTTTATCCGAGGAGTACTGTTCTGCTTCCTACTGTATTAATCCACAGCCTAGTTTGGCCTGCACTTTCTAGACCCAGAATCAGCGTGAAAATTATAAAAAGTCCTCAGTCTCTTAGAGCTGGACAAAGTTCAGAGTTTAAAGGACAAC
Source organism: Homo sapiens (assembly GCF_000001405.40). NCBI lineage: Eukaryota > Metazoa > Chordata > Mammalia > Primates > Hominidae > Homo > Homo sapiens. The sequence continues at coordinate 38,647,055 of NC_000011.10, forward strand.
TACATTTATATTATTGTATTCATAGCTATCTTTATCTCTTTTGTTACCTGGACAGATTCATGCAGAACTTATTCAAGAAAAGCAAACCCTTCTCCATATGCATTTTGGAAAATCACTTGCAGCCATTGCTTAGAATTTTTAATTTATTTTGAGCTCGGGTTTCTCTCTGATTGAAAGTTTATATAACAAACTCGACTTCTGAGATTAAGAGATGAGATTCTAAGGCAAGAATCATTTAGAAGATACTCCTTTATTCAAGAAAAACAACTGATTGTTACTTTTTATATAATACTATAATCACTCTCCCTTTCCCTCTCTTCACCACTTTATATTCAGAAAGTTTGCTTATAACTATGTTATATCCATTTTGGGGAGGTCTATACTAGCAGAGAGAGTTTTCCCAAAATTTTTGACTGAGTAAATTCATTAATATCAAGTACTTACAGATTATATGATTTCACTTTTTTCATCTTTAGTTTTTCTGACCTATATGAGGCCAATAAAGAGCCTAGAACTCAGAACTGAATTTGGAGAAAAGACGTTAGGTATGATGGTCTGAAAGACATCAGCAGTAGCTGACGTGGGATTTACCATTTTTAGTATTCAATATATATTTTAATGTAATGTGCCATCTGTAGTGCACCATAGAAATGCAAATCTCAAATCATATTTTTCCAGTAAGTTTGCTTTTTTTCATTGCATGGACAGAGAAAACTTTTAAGAAATTTACCATAGCTAAGTTAGATTAGAATGAGTAAGTGTTGGACACTTACAATTAGTCTGTTGGACAGACTAATTTTTCAACAGGCATATGATACTCTACTGTCTTATACAGTGCCCATCTTTTCTCTAGGCCAAACATAATTTTGGACTCCCATTGATTAAGATCCTCTGATTCAATTTAAGGCAAATTTATTGATTGGCATAGTCAACAAGTTTTCATATGAACAAAATGTATACAGCAAATAATAGGGGACCCCAAACTGGCATAAAGCATTTCAAATGTTATTGAATTTTGATTTAAATATAAAATTAAATAAAGAAATTTAAGATTTTTTCTATCTTGCTGCTCATGGTTATTTTATAATATTTACACTGAAATTTATCCAAATTTAGCCTTTAGAATATACAATGCTCTAATATTGATGTTATTAGCTACTCATAGGAAGTGTTAAATATATTGTATTCTAACAAATAATAAAGGCAAAAAATCAATACCTGCTTCAGGAAGCATTTTGTTTTTAACATGATATGTTTGAAAATAAATAGCATAGAGGGCATCTGACTGTATGTTAGCCCGAGGGGTAATTTGCTTTAACTTGCTGAGCCTGTTATCATTTGCTAACAACTCCCAGTTTCTATTTCATAGGATTGTTTTAAGTCCTCATTGGGCATTTTAAGTTCTGTTTGAAAGAGCTGCATCACAATTCTTATAAAGGACTTGTTGAATCATAAGCTGTTTCCTTAAGCACCAGTTATGTGGGGGACCTTGTGCCAGGCACTGGGCCACATAAATGAGAATCACAAGGACCAGGATTAAGAAAAGACAGGTAAGTCCTCTTCTAGAACGTAGCAGTAAGGAAGCACCAACAAAATAAAATCGTACTCAATATAATTAATGGTTAAATGCAGTATTTTTACAAAATATAAACGTAAATGTAAAATATTACATAAATAGAAGGTGAGTATGACTGATTTACTCTTTTTGTGTCAGGCTCCAGTGTGACTCAGCACAGTGTTCACAGCCCATGCTCTCAAGAATCTCAGCTTAGGAGGAGGCAAAGAGGTAAAGCACAGGTCAACATGCAGTGTTGGACTACATAGAAAGTACATATCCTTCATTAGTGCTGGCAAGACAGATGAATTAATGCCTTTCAGGGGTAAACATCCTATCTATTGATATTGATATTGATATTGTTACTGCTGATGTTGTTAAATTACTTTTATGGAAAGAAATACGTGATGCCCAGGTCTGCCCAAAAGAGACCTCCTAAATATTATTTGTTTCTTTAAATATCTTCTCTCTCTTATTATTAATTGGTAAGGAGAAAAAGAGCTAAATGTTTCCAATTTGAATGTGATGTGCTCCCATCTAATTAGCAATTAAAGAGTTTTTACAAACTTAATGAATCTTCATTCCCTTCATCTGACTATCTCTGTTGCATTTTTGCAAATCAGCATGCACACAAAAATACAGTTTCATTGACTTGCCTGACCTAACAAGCACTGAACATTTTTTATCACATTTCTCTGAAAGCTTCAGCATTTTAGTACTGACATATTGCTAATGTGAGGAAATATGACTTTATTCTGCTGACTACTAATTAATCTTTATAATTATATCATCTCTCAAGCATAATCAAAATCAGATGCAAGAAATAGTGGCTCTAAGAAACATCTTTATCTGCATAATTGTCTTACTATAAGAAAAGACTTCAACTGAAGCCTCACTTTGAGATAAGTGATTGACTTGGTAATTATTGTTCTCAAATTAAGAAGAGTTTAAAAGAAAGAAAAATAAATTTCATGTGCATGTTATGCACTGAGTTTCAATGAGACATTGAAAAGTTCTGAGAATATGTTTTTAATAATAGGAAGAAGGCTAGGCATGGTGGCTCACGCCTGTAATCTCAGCACCTTGGGAGGCCGAGACAGGCAAATCACAAAGTCAAGAGATTGAGACCATCCTGGCCAACATGGTGAAACCCCGTCTTTACTAAAAATACAAAAATTAGCTGGGTGTGGTGGCACATGCCACCTGTAGTCCCAGCTACTCGGGAGGCTGAAGCAGGAGAATCACTTGAACCCAGGAGGCAGAGGTTGCAGTGAGCCGAGGTCACACCACTGCACTCCAGCCTGGCAACAGAGCGAGACTCCATCTCAAAATAAGAAGAAGAAGAAGAGGAGGAGGAGGAGGAGGAGGAGGAAGAGGAAGAGGAAGAAGAAGAAGAAGAGGAAGAAGAAGAATGATAATAATAATAATAATAATAATAATAATAATAATTTAGGGCCTACTCTAAATCCAAGATGATTTCATCTCAAATTATTTAGCTTAATTACACATGCAAAGACCATATTTCCAAATAAGATCACATTCACAGCTACCGTAAATGAGGACTTGGACATATGTTTTAGGGAGCACTGTTCAACCCACTAGATATATTTCAAATTTTTTGCTAATAATGACAAAAAATGAATATTAATATATCAAGAATTATAGAAAGACAAATAGAAATCAACATATTTATAAGGGTTAATTTGTATCATAAAATAATTCTTTTCCTGCAAGAGATTAAAATACCAGAGAGACAAGTACTTAAAGGAGCTGCATTAAAGGAGAAAAATAACATCTTGGTTGGGTTTAGTATGTATTTTACTTCAATTACCTATTGCTGGTGAGAGTGAGATCATTGTTAAATGTCAGAATGCAGACAGCAATAAACTATACTGGATGCTAACTGTAGGAATTTTTTTTTTTTTTTTTCGGCATTACCTACAAAATGCAAAGAGGTCCTTGCAGGGCATCAAGACTTGCAATTAACAAACAAAAGGTACATATTCTACTGGATGAAATAATAAACTAACAGGAAGAGTGAATTTGCTGCCTTATTTTGGAAACATGACTCATACCTTTTAGATAGGTTTTTCCAATATCATCACCTTATCTCTTTCCAATCATGTTTGATATTTAGGTTCAGACATGCAGAACTAACAGTTATTAAAAGGAGTGTATGCCAGCCATATTTCCAGTTAAAAAGGAACATGACAAGTATACCTGAAAAATAAGATGAATGGCAGAAAAGAGAAATGTATTGAATGCTAAAAAAATGTTTGAAGTCAATTTCCATGGTGACTTCAGAGGTTTACTGGAACATATTTATTTTGGCATACTTTGTGACTCAGACAATCTCTCAATTTATTGGGTTCTGACCACTTGCTTTCAGAATCTAGGTATAGTCTGGATTACTCAATATCTCATCTGGTTAAGAACCTGAAGTTCAAAATAATGGAAGGCATACTTGCTTATAGGAGCAGGGTATATTATTGAAATATTTGAAAAGTAGATCTGTATAAGCAAAGTTATGAAAGGACTGTTTATTTATTTGAAGAAGTAAAAATGATACTTCTGACATTTTCTAGTTGGAGGAGAATTACTAAAGGAAGAACCATGAAAAATCTAACAATTATGAGGAAAGGAAATAATAGTAACAACTAATTGTTTAATCATAGAAAAAAGGTAAAATTTTTAGGGAACTATTTACTAGATTGATTCAGCTTTGACGGTTATTTGAGTATTACACAACGTCAGGAATCAGAGATCAGAGATGGAAAGGTCACTATAGAACATGAATAACTTTCAAATCTACTTTAGAGAAAACTTACAAGCTAACTTCAAAAAGTATTTGTCAGTCCTAGACAAGTTAGTATGTCCTAGCATAATAATTGGGTCATCTTGGGATTGATAACAGGAGTACTATTAAAGTCAACTCAAGTGTACTCAGAAGTCGTTGAAAACGTGCTAATTATGCTTAGAAGTGTGGTGACTATCCAGTATTAACCCCTTTCCTTATCTACCAATCATTTCACTTACCTCCAGTCCCTAGGACTCCATTTGAAGGACTAGTAATGAACTTAGCAATTATTCATTGAGTAGCAACTATGTGGGTGGAGGTTCTAAGGAGCTGTGAAGTTGCAAAGATTAGTAAGCTATAAATCAATTCTTTAAGTGTTTATAATTTAGAGACAGAATTAAGATACCTACAAAAATAAATATAATGCAATATCTAGAATACCAAATATCATGAGGAATCACAGAAAACAATTAGTAGTGAGTTTCAACAAGCGAGAGATTATATTCTGTTTTCAGGAAATGGAATTGAGGGAACTATTCGTAAAGGTCTTGGCATTTTTAGCAGAGCCTAGAATAAAATAGTTTGGATCTGGACATATAAAGAGTGGACTGGGAAAGGGAATTCCAGGCAGAATGTACACTGTGGGTAAATGCAGAGGCAAAGAAATAAAAGAAATGTAGAAGAAGTGATGAATGGATTGATAAGAAAATGCTGGGAGGATGTTAATAGGCAACAAATATTCAAGTGCAGATTAGGAAAACCTTGAATATCAGTTTAAGGAATTTGCACTTTGTTTTATAAGTCCTAAGGATTCAGTGATAAATTCAGGGAAGTAAATTAAATTATCAGACAGAGATTTTAAGAAACCAATTGCTTCTGTGATGCCCTCCAATTGATGTATACTGAATATTCTTTTCTGCTTTTTGTAGTTTTTTTCTTACCACTCAGCACCAAATATATATATTTGTTCATGTGATATAAATAATCATTGCTTAACAGGCATGGAAAAGAACTAACAGAATCCAACAACTATCAATGTGTTTTGAGTGGAACTTTCCTTAAAAAAGTCCCCCAAAATGTGTTTAGCTATTTTTAAATAAGATCACTACTGGCATGGGGGAGGAGAGGCAGTAGTTCTTTAACGTGTGGAACTGCAAAACATTTAGCATCTGTGTCTTGGAACACTATATATATCCTTGCCCACCACCCTCCACAAGTCCTTGTGCCAACCACAAAATTCCCACTCACATTTCCAGATGCCCCTAAGTATGTGTGGGAACATGAGCCAGAACATCCCTTAATTGAGAACCACAGGATCCAGCATATAATAATTACACATAATATTTGTAAATAAAAGGTCTAATACACATGTTCCACCATGTATTCTTTTATGTTTCCTTCATAAGGAACACTGTAGTGAAGGAATTCTGTTCTGAATAAACTAAGAAACCCATATACCAGATATCTATTTTGGATTTAATAATGGATAATACTATAGTTAAGGCCCTTAGTAATTATGCTATGAAGAAATCCTTTTAACATTATACAACTTTTTTTATTTTTTTTTGATACAGAACTTCCCTATTTGTTTAATATCTAACTAGCCCTAAGGTTAATATTCAAAATTATTGATAAAATGCATTAGGAGATCTGATGATAGATGTCTTAAGAAGAAGATCAGAGTTTCGGAAGGACATTCTCACACAGATCTCAGTGAGTCTTTGCCCACCTAGTCTATTCAACTTTGCTGATCTCCTTCTTTTCTTTACTCTCTCCACTGCCAATGATTTGTCTCCATACGTGTGAATTTATTCAATCCTCAATTTCCAACTAAACATTTTCAACAATTGTTCTTGAATAACACCAACAAGAATATAAAATGTTATGTCTATACTTCATTTGAAACATGTATACCGTATTTTTAGTTTAACTATAGAAATGTACTTTTTATTTTACCAATAGAATTTTGGAAATTCTAGCCACTTTTGCTAATCTATTATCTCTTCTTCTTCTTCTTTTTTTTTTTTTTACTTTCTGTTTCTTCTTTTGTCCGTATCTTTTTCACAGAATGAGAATGCAACACCTGTAAGGCATTTAGTTCTAGTGACATTTTTCTCCCATGCATAACTTAGCTGTTAAGCACACACACATATATATACACATGTATATATATATATGTATATTTCTTACCTTTTTATACATTAAACATACATATCAAACACTTGGAAACAAAAAGTGTTTCTATAATATATGGGTATATTATTCCAAATGGCTAGTATTTTGCTAATCATGCCCCTCTAATTAGCATTGCCATTGGAAGTAAAAGTGTTTGGATGACACATAAGCATATTAGTCATATGAAGGTGTAATTTGTTGTTTCGCCTGCCAAGAGAAAAAAATCACATTCCTAGAATCCAAAAGAAAGGAAAAACTTGACAAAATATTAAGAATGAATAAAAGAAATACTATAATTTAAACACCTACACTGTGCCACGAATTGTGTAAGGCATGGTAAATGTCTCTTACTTCTCAAACTCCCCGGGAGACACGTATCAATAATTCTTATTGACATTCTTATTGACGTTGTCCTTCCATTTTAAATATTAGAAAAGAAAAACAGAATGAAATTAACTCACTTGCCCAAGGACACATAATGCATTAGTGGCATGAGTTCATGTTTGTTTAACTCAATATCCTGGCTCTCTTCACTACCTCTTATTTCTTGTCTATGACAGGCCACAGCCAATCTTTGGCATGTTTCAATTTGTTAGCTAGGTTACAAATCCCTAGTCAGCTTATTCAAGGAATCATTGCAACAAATTAATCAGTAGTAAAAAGCCAGATAGAACAGTATTAATTTACTTTCTTATTTTCTTTCTACGTAACATGTCTTCGACCTATTTCTCTTCTTAAGATCAAGGCCAGGTAAAGCCTTAAGTGATATAAAGTGATATCACATAACAAGTGATATGAAGTCACTTGAAAAATGCGCATTTTAATCTTCTCTACTTCTTACTATCTATATGACCTTGGGTCCTTTACTTAATTCCTCTGAATCTGCTTTCTTTTATCTATATATAGAGTGATGAATGATGATATATAGCTAATACAAGAGTTCTTCAAAATATAAGATGTAATAATATGTAGATATTTTCTACTCAAACCCTACACTCAGTTGGCATTTAACCTTCTTTCCCAGCCCTCTAAATTCAATTATTGTATCTCTGGAAATATATGAATTCCAAAGTGATAATATAAATAAGTATACAGGAGAATGTTGGTGGATTTCTTTGATGGCAGAATTAAAACAATCAGTAATTGATGCTATATCAGCTAAAAAAGTAGAAGCTGATTTTTTAGGATACTCTATGAAAACAAAATGTTGAGTTTAATTGCCAGAACTGAAATTCCCAGCATTAATACTGACAGCATTTATTTTCACCCTTTCTAAACTCAAAGGTAATAAGGCTGAAATATGCAGTTCCCACATGTAAGATGAATTCTTGTGTATCTGTGTGTACAGTTATTTTTAATACCTATATATTGATTTCAGGTTTACCTCTTATTCCAGAGGGCATAAATATGCAATGGCACTATTCATAAACTCAACCAATGGCACAATCATTTTAATACTGACATGCTTCAGTACAAATAAATATAATTCAGAGAAAATCTTCCATGAATATTCCTTACGGAGCTGGAAAAAACGTTATCTGAAGCAAGATGTTACTATGGGAGGATTATATTACGTGCACTGTGTTTTGGCAATGCTTTGGGATACAGTCATTAAATAGGTTGGCTGAAAATTCATTTTACTGGTTAATTAAATCCAAGAGTTTGCAAGAAAGGTGGTCATATTATTTTGGATTTTATTTCTTAAAACATTAAAATTGAAATTTTTAAAAGTTATGAAGGGGTAGTTGGGAGTACTGACAAATTTTACATAATCTCTTTTTTAATGCAAGATTTTTGCTCTGTACTAGTTTAAATTTTTATGTTTGAAAGGGAGTATATTGTTCTTATTCTTGTTGCTTTGTTTTGTTTTGCATTACAAAGCAATACATTAAAAACACCCTTTCTATTCTGTTAGCATAAAATCATCCAGAAAATGGGTGAGGTAATAGCATTAATGGGACCTTTTTTTAAAAAACAGGGGATTATGCAAGGGACTGTGTAAATAATGTCACTGAATTCTACTATGGCCTTCCAATGTGAAGATAATTAGCCTCCCATACCACTGCCCTTCTGTACAGTTAATAAAACTAAAGGTCAGGGAGAATAAGCAATTGGTTCAAGATGATACACATTAGCATTTGTGATGTTAAAATTTGAATTCAAGTTCCTTTAAAACCAAAGATATAATTTGTGTTTTCCGATTTCATTGCTACCTTCCCCAAAATTGCCTTTCTTTAAACAGGGAATTTTTTTGCCCTTAGGGGAGAAGATACAGTTGATTAAACGAAATATAGAATATTGAAGAGCCAAATACATCCACCTATACCACACTGTTTCATTAGCCACCAGCTCACCAAATTCTATTTAAAAAGGATTTCGAGGAATTATAGATTTAAGTAACATAAATATCTTCCCACTTAAATATTTTTCAAAATATGGAACCATTCAGAAGATATACAATACAGTTGATAAAGATTTTCTATCATATCTAAAAGTAATGTATCCATTTGGAAAAACCACCTACTGAAATGTAGAATAAAAATAAAACTTAGCACTGGCTTGTCAACTATTTGAATTTATTTTATCCAAAAAATACTATGTTATCTCAATCATATTCTTTGAAAATGTATGCAAGTATATTTCAAAGTAAGTCCATACAGACAACTTGTATGGGAAAAGTAGAAAAATAGATATATGAAAAGGGAACAATGTATTAATAAATACAATACTGGTAGCATTGCAAAAACTGAAAAACACATGACACTCTTCTTTGTATCATACAAGTTTGTTATTATTCCCAGTCTTGAAAATTTCAATTCAATTCTAGTACTTAATCTTTCACATGTCTGAAAAAGTTGCACTAGATATATGTAAAAGGAGCAGAACAGTCTACTTTTTGCTTTCTCAATATACATCAGGCAAATGGGATGTTGCCAAATGTCATTTCTGCAGCAAATACTCTCTACACTCTAGAGTAGGATTCACATTGTGGAATTTCAAAAAAACGGTTGGTGGTGTTGGGGGCGGTATATATTTTTCTTAGAAAACTGCTCACATTAATTACCTTGTGAACATTTCACTATGAGTTTCAGATTGTTTACTGACAAACTACAAGGGGATGGTAAAAATAGATGGGCTAAGCAATCCAAGACTTCCAGCAGTGAAATTCCTCTTTGGAAATTTATATTATGTTTTAGATTTGCAAAATGATATTTTTCGTAACAATAAAATAAGTACTGACATTAATTTTAAAGGGGAAAAATTTCAAAAGGTGTAAGCTATACTTGGGTAGATAAAATGAAATATAAGCTAAAATTTATTCAACAGTTACTTTGTTCCAAGAACCACACAGAAAACTTTATATTAATTAACTTATTTAGTTTTCATGATGGTCCTATAAAAAAGCATGGTTGGTTCTATTTGCCTGTGAGGACATTTTATTTTCATTTCTGAGAGGTAATAACAATACAAATAAATAATTAGCTCAAGTTACGTATACTCAGTCAATAGTCAGAGACATGATACAACTTTCCCAGGTAGTAGAAGCCAGAGCTGAAATTAGAAACCAGGTCTGCATCCCCACAAAGTCATGCTGCTTCTAGGCCAGCACACTTACTACTTATCAATATTTCTGATCATTTTGATTGACATATTCTGGTATCTAATAGCTAATATGGAATGTATATTTGAAAATGTGATGATAGCTTAATAGGACCCTAAATAAAGTTTCCAAAAATAATTCTATGCTGCATATTTGGGATTTGATGGTATGCATAATGATATGGAAAGTATAAGAAGGATAAAGGCAACTTAGTCAATGTTCTAAAAACATCTACAATGGTTTAGTTTCTTAAGGATGTTATTGTTGAATGATAAATGTCAACATTACTCCTTTGCAATGGCAAAATTTTGTAAAATCAGTAAGAATAGTTGTCCTTTATATTTGCATTGACATTTACTGAATGAACCACAAATTGTATAGATGGGAAAGGAGCTACATCTGAAGGAAAGAGCTATTTCTGAATGGATTTGTCATCCCAATTTTAGACCATTCTGACCAAATGCTTTGAAAAGTTGTTCTCATTTCAACAGTGTTTGTTGAATTACTCAGTTAGGGCTTTACAATCCTTAGCACCTGTATTTTATATATTTTCACTAGATTTACATGATTTGAAAATATTTTCAACTTCTGAGAATATTGTATTTGTCACACAAAAATAAAGTGAAGCAGAGCTAAGAAGCAGAACTATTTCACCAACCCTTAGGATTGTTGTTTTCATTAGGAAATAAAATCAAAATGGGAAATGCACCTTGCATAGCTTCTTTTTTCCCAAAAAGCCATTTTTATGCAATTTATTTTTAGTTTTGACAAGTGTAATATTACCTATCGATACATTTCCATAAATATCTTTGATGAAAAATTAAATCTCTTCAAATAGTAAATCACTATATAAGATAAATAAAAAAGTAACTGGATCAAATGCAATAGTTATTTCAATACAAAATATCTTGCTTATAAATGGGTAAAAATGTTACTGCTAGCATGACTTTCTGTGAACAGTTAAATAAAGCAGCTGCTCAAGAATTTGAAATGCCCTCAGGAGCCAACATCTTGATTACAAGCACTCATAATACCAACCTTATTATGCCCAAGAGCATAGTCACGAGAGCGAACTAGAGTTTACAATACATGAGGGTTCTAAAACCTTCTGATAACCTAACACCCATGGTAGGAAGACACAAGAAAAGAAGTCAACACCATCTAAGAAGATTCCAGGAGCAACTCTTCAAATAAATGATTGGCTCTTTGTAAAACCATTTGACTGTATGATACAGAGATAGATCTTTTTTTGAGGTCTTACGATAAGAAAATAACAACCTAGGGTTTGGGTTTGATTAGGCAAGGTATTTTGGTTGTTTGTCTCAAAACAATATAATTGATTTTCCAGTATACCTAAGCTGTACATGTTGTGCCAGGAATATGAGGCAAATAAGAGGGGTATAACAAAGAAAACATGTTTCTTATTCAGAAGCCAGAAAAATTAAGAATAGGCAAAGAAGCAGAATGTTTGACAGATCAGGATGGGTGCATCATGACTGAGTCTTTTTAAGGAAATAAAATATCTGAACATAAAAATGACAAAATTATAGCTAAATGTTAGAAAAACTAAATAAAGATGGAGTTAGAGGAACAATTTTAGCTACGATTTATTAAACATTTTCTATATGCTATATATTGTGCTAAGCATTTTATCTATGTAACCAATTTTAATCCTCTCTATATTAGTTTTCTAGTCAAGTAAGTCTTATTTAGTTTTAAGAAACACAAGTTCATTTATAATAGTTTAAATAAAAAAGGAGAATTTATTTTAAAGGTACAAAGGACATTTCTCAGGAACTACATCTGGATTCAGGAGCCAAAGCATTGGGATCTATATATATTTACCCATCTTTCATTACTGCATATTCTATTTCATGCCAATTCTCCTTGTTATCCTCTACTTTCTCATTATGTACATTTTTATATTTTCATTTTGCAAACACTTATGTAACACTTGCTTTTAGTCCCTATTCAATCCTCATAATAAAACTATGAAGCAGAGACCATTATCTTCACTTTATAAATGTAAATACATCACAGAAAGGTTACGTAGTTTGCCCAAGTTGGTCTAGCTAGCATAAGACATGCTGTGATTCAAGCCAAGCTGTCTGGCTTTATGTTCTTATTCTCCCTGCCTGCCCAGTACCATTGCATTGGCCAACGGGAACACCAGGCCAAATCCACTTTAAAACTGGACAGTCCTCCCATATAGACTTTACACTCTGGGACTTCCAGCTCAAATACTTGAAAGAAAAGAATACTAACAAAAGATTACTGGACTTTAACTTTGGAATGGAGGTGAGACACAAATACATAAAAAGGGGATGACAGAGTCTGTAACTTCTAATAGTCTTTGCCAGTTTGGGGAAACACCAAACCGATATGGTCCACATTAACTCAGCCTGGGATCTGTTTGTAGTTAAAATATTTTAAAATTCCAATTAATGATATAATTCAAAATAAATAGCATAAATTGTGCAGAAGGTAGAACCCTTTGTAAAGTCACATTTGTTCATTACTGGCCTTAACATAGAATATGAAATAATCGGGAAAAAAAGGTAAAATATGACATGCTTACAAAGTTTATAGACAACAGAGGAAGGCAGAGAGGGAGAATTCACAATAAAAATATTTTAAAAAATCAGTGTTCATTGTGTAAATACTATAGAGTATGACATGAAGCTGAGATGTGTGGGCTATGAGACCAGATTGTCTGTGTAAGAATTTAGCCTTGGCTATTTAGCCTTGCAAAGTTATCTACCCTCTGTATTCTTATATATGCCAAATTTACACATAAATGGATATGAATGATGATGCTTACTTTAGACGGTTGCTGAGAGGGTTAATGTGGAGACTCTGCATAAAAATACATTAATGTTAAGTAGTCACGACAAAAATTAAGATATTTAAGGCTATGTGGAATTCCAAAGTGAAACAAACAATCTGTTGAAGCTTTTGTTAAAATGCCTATTGTGGCAAGTTAGATTGGTAAGGGAAATGGCAAAGAAATAGTGTTGGGGATGTGAAATTGGATTAGATAACCCCATAAAATATAAAATCTCATTGACTGTTTATATAGTTTTCTATAATAAGTTTTTAAAATAAAAAAACGATCTACTGCAAAAGAGAGAAAAAATATTCATATAATCAAATATTTAACTTACTTCAATTTTTCTATGACAAAGCAAATGTCTTTTGTCATGCACTTCCTCAATTATGCACTAACACAATAAGATTTAACATAATTGTCTATTGTTCAAAAGTAATTTTTCAATTAACTCTACAAAAAGAATGTGTTCCAAAATTAGTAATTTAATTTGACTCAAAATTTTATTTTATAATAAACTCTATTTATAATTTATGATAAAATTATATTTGAAAAAACTCCAAGTACTAGGGTTAGTGTTTCTACCACTACAGGCCATAACACTGGATATTCTTTCTTTGAATTCATGCTTTCACATTTTATTTGAGTTTTCAATCTGCTTCCTTTGCACAGGTTCTCTGGGCTTTCTCCAAGTTAGACTGCAAAATGGAAATGAACAAAAAGAAATATTATGTTTCTAAGATGCATGTAAAAAGAGTTGACAGTGGTTTACAACAGCTATTGAGTCCACATCAGGTTGTAGGGATGGCTGAGATTGGAAGGGATATAAAATCAATGCAAAAAATACAACGAGTTATCAGCCAATTCTTCTGTATTCGTTATCTATTGCTGCATAACAAATTACCCCAAATTCAGTGGCTTAACACAACACTAATTTATTATCTCCATGTTTGTATGAGTTAGGAACCTGGGCATGGCTTATTTGGATTCTCTGATTCATATTCTTTCAGAAGTCTGTAATGAATCAATGTGTCAGCTCAGGGTCTACAGTCCCAGCTGAAGGCTCAGCTGTAGAAACATAGAGTTCCAAATTTAATCGACAGAATTGAATTCCTAAAGGGCTGTTGGACAAAGGGCCTCAGTTCTCGATGGATTTTGGCTGGAAACCACCCCCAGTTTTTTGACGTGTTGACTTCTCTTGTGGTAGCTTGCTTTTTCAAAGCATGCTAGCAAAAATGGCAATAAAGAGAGAATGTGCCATTCAGAAAGAAGTTGCAGTCTTTTGTAATTTAGTCATACAAATTAAATCTCAGCACTATTGTTGTCTTTTATTGGTAGCATCAAGTCACTATGTCCAGCCCACACTCAAATGAACAGATTCTATAAGGGCATTAACACCAAATGGAAAATATCTTTGGCAGCCATCCTGGAAGTCTGCATACAACAACTTCCTTCACATTATTACATTGTTATTGTTGTGTCTCTCATTATGAAAATATTACCAATCCCATACCATTAGCTCACCTACTCCAGCCCCCATTCCATCATAAACTGAAGATGAGAGCCACATCCAATGGCATTCACCTGTAGTCCCAGCTGCTTAGGAGGCTGAGGTGGGTGGACTGCTTGACACCAAAAGTTCAAGGCTGCAGCCCACGATGATTGTGCCTGTGAACAGCCACTTCACTCCAGTCTCCTGGGCAACATAGCAAGACCCCACCTCACAAAATATTTCATATATATAAAATACATATGTATATAAAATACATGTGTATATATTTATATGTGTGTGTATAAATATATACCAGAGAAGGGAATATATTTTTCTAAAATTGTTACATTTTATATATTTCTACACTTTATTTCTATTTATGCATGAGGGCCTCAGAAATAGTAATTTAACTAATTTTATTTTAATTCTGTGTTTGATCAGTCTTTATCTTATTGATACCCTCAGCCATATGTAATTCAGACCTTCTAATATTCTCCTGCGTTGCTCAAATGAAAGTAAGATTCTATTTTGGTAAGATTCTATTTACCTATGTGAAAGTAAGATTCTATTTACCTATGTGAAAGTAAGATTCTATTTTGGTTTTGAGTTATAATACATTCAGCTTGCTGCCTGGGTTGCTAATGAGAAGCTGACTCCTTCTGGAACAAAGCACTTCGATAACACAGAATTCATATATTATACACAACTAGTATTTAGCAGCAAGAGACACAGTTTCCCAGTGAGTTACATAGTCCACATATGCCAAATGGCACTCCCCAACTTGGATTGAAACCGCAGATCTCCTTTTCCAGATTACTAAACTCTGACCTGTTACGGAATGAGACAGATCTGAATTAAATCTCTGAGTCAACAACTTTCTAGCTTTGTGACCATGCCCTGTAATCTAATCTCAAAACCTCAATTTTCTAACATGCAAATAAAAATATTACCTGCTTTTTAATAAAACTTTTAATTTTTGTTGGATTAAAAGGTATAATTTATATAATGTGCTTAGCACATTATTCAGTAATTTAGTTATCATCTTTTTAACTTGATTGTGCCATATGCATGATTTCTCTCCTTTTATTTCTGACCGATTTGTTTTATTTTGTTTCATAATATTATTGTAGTAATTACTATTCAGAGATGTACCTTGGACTTTTGTTTTATTTATTTAGATTTTCTGAAGGCTCAGATTCCTCAGAATTAAATAAAGCTGATTATTATATTTATCAAAGTTTGCTTAGTATTCATATTGAGCATTTACTGTGCATTAAGTTCTTTCCTGGCTTCTTAGATACACAAATAAATAAGACATAACTTCCGCACCACCCACTATTGCAGATATCAGTAGACATTAATCTCTAGGGCCATTTCTGGCCTTAGAAAGAAAGCATGTTAGAAGCTCTTTTTAACTATTCAGAAATTCAGCATCAGATTAACTCTCCTTCTGCCCTAAATTTATGTAATATATATAGTCATATATTACAATACATGTTTTATTTATATCTTAGCCTAGTAACTTCATCTTAATATTTCTATGCCTATAACTGTGTTATGATAATGTCTCCTAAAACTCAGTTTCCTAGTTTTGTAAACTCCTTTCCCACACAATACATTTTGACTTGGTGCTGTGTTGTCATCTAACAGGCCTCTTTGAAACCCATAATCCATTGGAAACTATAAATGCTATTTGCATGTTCTTCTTACTCCCTAGATAATCTTTACTTATTGCAGAAAATCATGTCGGCCAAATTGCAAAATAGAATCAGGAATTTATTTATAAAATTCTAATGCTCTCTTTCAATTTCCAGCTGAATTCCATGTGAATCAAGTTCTCTTATGTTTTACCACTATATAAGTGGAATATTCATGTATCATATATCGCCAAAAAGTATGGTTAACAGTTATCTTTGATGGAACCATTATTCAGGACAAACATTAATTTCTAGATATATAATATAAATATCAAGCTGACATTGAACAGTTTTAGTCCAACACATAGAGACCTTTATGTTGACAAGTTGAGAAGAGGGAAGTTTGTACTAAGAAGGTATAGTGTTATGGCACAAGTTTATCATTACTGTTAAAAAATCAAATGCCTTTCTTAAGGATTCGGCATTCAGACAATTACAAGTCACAAAATTCAGAAACTCGTTTTTGTGGGTCTTCATGAATGAAAAGGAATACTTTATTAAAACCTGAGCAGGGGCTGTGTCGGTACTCACAATCTGATGCTCTAACATGTTTGCTGAAATCATCATGTTATGTATTATCAGTTTCAACATGCAGAAAGGGAAACACTTTGTACATAACATGCATGCTTGTATTGTTAATTTGCATTTTGTCTTTTTCCACAGCCGCTCTACAGTAAGGTAAATAAGTCATTTAGTCAGGAACTCTGCACATTTACCTCTGCATTTATCAAATATTTGTTGAAGGAAATAATAAAAGAAGTGAGGAGGAAGAAGAGGTTTCCTGGGTAAGAACTGAAGGAGGTGAAATCTAGATGTTCTGTATTTTTTAGCCTGCAATTTAACCTTATGATTCTTATGCTCTCTTTTGCCTTAGATATGCATTTCTTGCCTTCTCTTCTTTGATTTCACTGTCAAGGTATAGTCTTGCCTTGAATACCATTTAAAATATCAGAATTATAAAAAAACTGTAGAAAGTTTTCTTTCTACATTCTAAAGACTCTCACAGTCTAACAATTATTAGCTCAAAGAGTCAGTAATACGACTGTATTTTGCTGAGCTTCTTCTGATTTCTCAGTCTTATAATGAACAATGTCACTGAACAGTCCCTTGGATTTCTTCCTAAGCACCCATTTGCTCTTCAATAATCATAGGAACCTTAGTTTTGTAAACACTGCCATGTAGATAATTTGAGGAAAGCAATGGAAGGCCAATAATATGAGTCAAACTAACGACAGGAGAAAAACAAACTTGTTCTGAGAGTCAAGACTCTGGAGTTCTTTTTGCTGTCTTTTTCCAATCTGTATGCCTTGAATATGGCACTTCACTCATTGGATTCAATTCTGTAATCATTAAGGGGCTAAAACGGTCAACCACCTTGCATCAAGTTTTATAATGAGGAGGTAGTTAAGATCACCAGCTCTTTGACCAGAGGGCTTTAGTTCAAATTCTGGCTCTAATGTATATTATATAAAACAAGTTTCTGTCTTTTAAAAGAAAATACTTCTGTTTAATTTCAGTTTTGTCACATGTGTCATGGCATAAATAATAGTTTCTAAATAACAAGCTGATGTGTCATTTAAATGGATAAATATATTGGAAGCTTATACAATGGTGCCCGCAACAATGCAAATTCTCAATAGTGATTAGCTAATGCTTCATTAAAGACATTTATTTCTCTTATATTTTTGACAAGACTTACTTTTTACAATTTCTACTATTTTCAGTAGTAAGACGTTACACAGAAAACATAGTTTCTATTCAAAATGGCAGCCCTAACACTTTTTGAATGCAAGAATCATTTTTTTAGAAAAAGTATACTTGCTTAGTGTAAATTTCATTAGCTTTTTCACATGTAATGTACAATTGTGCCAAATCACTTCATCCTGGTTATTGTCCTCTGAAATACAGTTCAGGTTATCAATGTTTTCACAAAATTGTGACACAGATCTTTTTGAATATGGACACTCTGTTGCACAAAATGATAACAGTTAAATTGCATATTATTTTTTTGAACATCATTCTTCTACTTCAAAATTTACCAAACACCCTTTAGACAGCTACTTAGGACTTTTTTTTTACATTGAGCAGCACTTTCACTTATCTTTGCTGTCTTGCCACAGAATTTTCCCTGACTGACCTCACAACACTGAATTTTTTTTTTTTTTGCATTATGTCTAGAATTGCGGTTTACTTTCCCTTTTTTATTACTTCAACTCTTAAAAAAGAAAGTCTTTCTACATGGTTCTTTATATATATATGTATATATATATATACATACATATATATGCATATATATATACATACATATATATGCATATATATATATATACATACATATATATGCATATATATATGCACATACATATATATATATGCTCTGAAATTCCTTGATTGGCTATCTTTGTATTTATTCTTATTTTAATTTATAGTATTTGTTCTGGTCCTCAATCCCAGCAGGCGGAGGTACAGAACATGAATTTATTCATGCAACCTATTACACTGATTGTCCTTTTAAGTCCTATGCTATATGAAATTTAATAAATGAGCCATCTATATATTAAGAAAAACCAAAAATTTGTAAATATTATTGGTGATACCAAAAGCAGAAACCTAAAGCAGTCAAATTACCTTGACTAATTATTAACTATCATTATCTGCCATTTAATAACTTGGGAATATCTGCTGTGTGTTATAGGTTATAAAAATTATTATTATTATTATTATTATTATTATTTGAGACTGACTCTTGCTCTGTTGCCCAGACTGGAGTGCAATGGTGCGATCTCAGCTCACTGCACCCTCTGCCTCTGGGGTTCAAGCAATTCTCCTGTCTCAGCCTCCCGACTAGCTGGGACTACAGGTGCACACCACCACGCCCGGCTAATTTTTGTATTTTTAGTAGAGATGGGATTTCACCATACTGGTGATGCTGGTCTCAAACTCCTGACCTCAGGTGATCCACCCACCTTGGCCTGCTGGGATTACAGGCGTGAGCCACCACACCCAGACAAATAATTATTTTTGTTTTGTTTTGAGATTTTTCCTGATTCAGTGTTTAGATGAAACTCTTATGCTGTTTTACCCTTAAAAGTATGCATAAGCTTGTTTTTTAAAAATCATTTTCAGAAGTAATTGTAAAAATGTGTTGTATTTGTAAGGAAAATATTCCTCATAAATGTGGGGTCAAAGAGTAAGTATGTAAAATTCAAGTTGAACACTTTTAGTTTTTAAAGTCTCTGCTGGGTTTTATCTACTTTTTTTTTGAAATTATTCTTGAGGTAACGAGAAAAAGGCCTTGTCACAAACAAAGGCAAAGGTAAAAGAATGCAATTTTCATTGGGGGGAAAGAAAAAAAAGAAAAAAAGCTTCTCTGAATTCTGTGTCCTTGCCTGTTTTAGGAGAAAGCACTCGAGGAGCAATAGGTGTCCTCTTTCATTTCCACTAAATATGCTGCTCAATGCCTTGTGGCATAACAGAATCAAAACTTTTCAGATGCCCTGCCGCTTTAACAAGACCCAGGATATGTCAAAATGGCTCCCACAGAACTTTCATTTGATCTTATCTTTCGCTGTCACACACATCGACCTGCATTTTCTTTTTTCTTTTTGATTCTTTATGTCTGCAAATGAACTGATGTAATTAAAAAGGTGAAGAAATAACTCTATCTGGCAGGGATGTTTATTGCTGGGTAGCCTGACTTTTTCTTGCCAAGGTAATTGACTTTGCTTGTGATATCATTTATTTTCTCTTTCTTTTTGAAATCTGCAACTAAGTATTATATTTCTCTTAATTCTGACACGAAAGTTACATTTATATTTATGGATATAAAATTTATTAGGGTCATGAGGCATGGAAGAAAGATGGGGGTTCAGAGTAATACACTGTTTCTTGAGTCCTTTCTATGAACTTGCCAATGTACTTGGTGCATTATATACATTATCTCACATAATTGTAAGAGATACGCAACATCATGGTATGTATTACTGGTGGATAAACAGGCTTAGAGGAATTAAATCTTGGCCCAGTGTGGTTAACAGGTTAACTTGGGATTTGAACATAGATTTAGGGGACTCTATAATCCATTCATTTTTTTTTTTACTTCTTTTACTATGTTTTCACCTTAAAATAATCCATACATATGCAATACATTTAACTTACAACAAACTTATCATTGATAATTATTAGATAGCGAAACAGGAAAGTTCCCTGATTCCCATCCCAGGGCATGCGACAGAGGTGTGGCTTGCCTGCTTGGTCACCCTTTAGCTCAAACCCCTATGGGGAGCATACAGATGGGCAGATGCAGAGGCCGGGTCGGCACGAGCGCTTTTGGGCTCCAGCCTCATGGCAGCATCTAGGGCTGTATGTCTGCGACTCCCGAAGCACGAGTGGGCATGTGTTACAAAGCTCTTTCAGATATGCCATCTGCAGATGGCTTGTGTGTTAATCAGCTCAATTGACCCTCTGCCTTATCTCAAGGGCAGAGGGTCAGTGTGACAGCCTTCTGTATCCTGAGCTTTTGCCCAGTATCCTGAAAGAATCAGATCACACGCTGGCTTAAAGGATGAGTGCAAATTTGTATTGAGGGGTGGAGGTGGCTGTCAGCGAGGTGGATGGGGAGTTGGAAGGAGTGATGCGGGGATAAGGTCGTCTCCCCCTGGAGTCGGGTCTCCCAGCAGCCGGACTCTTCTCCAACTGCCCCCGGCTGAATTCCCCTCAGTGTCTAAACGTCCCTCCTCTTCTCTCTTTCTCTGCCGCTTTTTTCCACCATTGCTGGTCTGTTGGTCTGCTGGTCTCGATGTTCAGCTGCTTGTGTGTTTGTCTGCTAAGGTCTGGGGTTTATATGGGCACAAGGTGGAGGGCGTGGTGGGCCAGAGATGTCTGGGAAAAATGCAACATTCGGGCACGAAAACAGGAGTGCTTGTTCTCACTTAGGTCCATGCGCACAGGGCCTGAGGTTGGAGCCCTGGCCAGGAACCCAACTCTCCTCTACCCAGCACTTCCCTGCCCCCTCCTGTATCAATAGTATGTCAAAAAGGAATAACACCTAATGACATTTATTTATTTATTTTTTCACCAATAGATCATCAGGTGCTGTGATAATTTATGTCCCTAAATAAATTTCTGATTATTTTAATGTAAAGATATAAAGCATGTAGATCTAAATATGTGACTCTTTCCTTTGCTATTCTTTATACATAGGAAGAGTATTGCCATTGTGATTGCCACTGGAGCTGCTTACCAAATATATCTGGCTCTTCATATTCCAATCATATAATGAATTCAAAGTCTTTGGGGGTTAGGTTGCTTTTGGCCATATGAGATTAAGTGATAAACGCCATTTCTAGTTCTAAAGCTTTAAAAAAAAATAGACCCCATTTCACTCACTCCATCCCTTTCTACTTTTGTATGATTATTGGCAGTCAGGTTGAGATAAAGTGTTTTTTAGCCTGGGCTGCTGGGTAACTCCAATGAGCAGACATCCCTTTTAAGTTGGGATAGCTTACATTTTGCTGTAGTAATTAAAACCTTCCAGATGAGACCATCCATGGCTTAATCCAATAAAGGATTATTTCTCACTCATGCAAAATACTCATGGGCTCTCTAAGGACTCTGCTCCATGTTTTAATTATTCTCCATCTGCTTGGACAAAGAGATAACACCAAATATCTATGAAAAGCCCTAATGCCAGTCACAGCCTCAGGCCCATCTCCTTGTATTAGACATATAGCATAAGAAGAAATAATCTTCTATAGTGTTAATCCAGGGAGGTGTTGGGGTTGTTTGTTAGTGCAGCAAAATCTAGCTTAGTGGGATCCAAACATTCATCAATAAATAATTGGTTAAGAAATCACGGTTCACATTAAGTGGCAGTTACCAATCCTAGGTACACATTTGAATTACCTAAAATGTTTGTAAGAATACCAGTGCTGGGTGCACCACTCACCAAAATCATCAGAAACTTACAGGCGGCCTAATCAGGGTCTAGGCCTTGGTGAGAACCACTGAAATATGCTATTGAATATTTGGCATACGACACAAAACTGTAAGCAATGGTTTACAGTCACACCTATTATCCTTAAAAATCTATTTCAAATGTAAAAGCAAGTTCCAAAATGCTTTGATATTTACTCTACAGCTATGTACCTATATTTACTTAAACATGCAGAAAAGTTAAAAATACTACACTACAAAATGTTACACATGTTTACTTCTGAGAAGTGGGTAGGACTTTCCATGACTTATTAAGAGTAAAGAAAAAGATTGTATATTACACTAAGTTTTACTTTTTTCTAAGATTTTGCTGCTTATTTTCTGTTTCCATAATCATAACCTTGTATATACAAGTAAACATTTTATGTTAAATTTAAATTTAAAGGACAAAACGTCACCTTAAAATAGAAAAACATGTCATATTGCTGTACAAACAAACAAACAAAAAGTAATGCTTAAAAGATGTTGACTTTCATCAGAGTAATTAAGAAATGAAAACATCAATATTCCTAGATTTTTCTGGGGATAAGCTGGGGAGCATTTAATTATTTTAAATTTTGTCTAGAAGTATTGAACAAGGATGTTTAAAGTAAATTTGAGAAAGGAAGATGACAAGAGGGAATGTATTCATCCTAAGTTAATAAAACTTTATACGTTTAGAATATTGAAAAGTTAGGCTCAGCTGCAGGAATAAAAAGATCATCAAAAAGAATATACCAGGAATGTCTGTAACAGACTCAAAAGTATATAGGAATATGGAATGTGGCAAAAGTGGCATAAGAAACTTAGTTTTTACTCTATACCATAAACCAAAATAAAATTCATGAATATTCAACATAAATGTGAAGTAAAACATATACAATATAATAAATAACAAATAGAAATAGTGCTCTCATTTGGAAAAAGAAAAAGGCTTTCTAAAAATGGAATCACAGAGAGAATCACAGAGAGAAGTAGACAGTTTACAAACTTATATAAATACAAATCCAAAATATCTGTCATTCTATATCAGAAATAATAAAGACTACCAGAACCCTGGGAAATTTAACACATTTAAGGAAAGCTTTATAATTTCAATGCATAAAAACTCCAGATAAATTTATTAGAAAAGTTTAATGGATCAAAAAATAAATCAAAAAGAAAGAAAAGGCAAATAGTTGAATAGACAACTGACCAAAAAAAGGCAAGTTAATTTTTTTAGTATACGTAATGCATTACTTTGTATGGTTTAGGTTCCAAATATAGCAATAAACTAATGAACATAAAAGAATCTATGTGTTTCAAGAGTATGAAATTCTAGTAGTAGGAAATAAAATCAATAACCAAGTCCATTATGGGATAAATGTAATGCTGAATAATAAAGTGGAGTAAGAGAATTAGGCCATATGGTTTGCAGTTTCAGAGCTGCTCGTTAACATGGGATGCTCAGAGAAATATATGTGAATGAAATAAGGCCATGAATCATGTGGACAAAGCATTTTCCAGACAGAAGACAAAAACACAACATTAAATGTGTTTAGTAAGTTTCAGGGACAATAAGAGGATGCCCGTGTGATGGAGCTGAGTTTAGGGAAACAGCAAATGGTAAAAGTTTTGGAGAGTTGAGAAGAGAGAAGCTGTGAAAGAGTCATCCAGGACAGAAAAAGCATGAGTGAACTTGGAACTATAGTGAGATTGCCAGGCTATACTAAAGAATGGCAGTACTTAGCGGTCACACTTCAAAAGTGAGACGGTATTTTCTTTTTTCACCTATGTTCACCTGGAGACCTAGAGAAGGTAGGGTTCAATTAAATGAGCTTTGAGGTTTTCTAAGCCAGAAAAATAGCAAGAAAAAAAACAAAAGATGAGCGAAGTACTTGAGATTGGAGAGGTACTGGACTTGCAAATGACCAATAAATAAGAGGAAGTATTGGATACAAGTAAAAATCATAATATAAATTACCAAAATATTGATATCAACTTTTCACTGAGTCATCTGGGATATCATCATATTTGAAAATATTAGCAAAAGATTTACAGAGTAGAAGAAAGGAACACTTTCATAAACTACAACTGGTTTGATCTTATTATATAACATTTTATAATCTATATCTAAATTTTTAAAATGTTACTCAGTTATTTCACTGCATTTAGTGTATTGTTATTTTACCAAAGGAATGTTTATTTTAATATTCCATGTATGTGGAAAAATATTAAAATACAACAATAATAATTTTCAAATGGGGTACCCTAAATGTCCAAAAATAGGTGATTGAATACATGACTTCGTATGAATTTATCCCTAGTTGATGACTTAGAAATAAGTTCATATTTGTGTGTGTGAGTGTATGAAAAAAATATATACACATACAGCTTATGCTCATAGATAAAAACACACAAGGGTTTTAAATATTTATTGATGAAATGAAAATAGAGCATAATAATATGATTATATTTTTGCAATTATTTCTATGTATGTTATTCATACATATATGTGTATGTTATATTTATATATTTTTGTGTATATATGTGCATGAAGCTACATGTATGGTTATATAAACATTTTATATGTAAATTTGTTTCCATATACATGTATATAAATCCATACATAAATTACATATACATAAATACACAAATTTACATATATATATTTGACACTATTAAGAATATTTATCATGATTCAAGAATGGTAAAGGGGAGGGTCTACTGCAATGGAGTTTTTTAGTAGGAGAGAGAGAGAGATGAGGCTCAATTCTGAATACAGCAAGGAAAATTAGCAGTTACAGCCAAAGAGTAGGGTGAGGGTCAATGGATTGAAAATTACTAACAGGAAAATTCAGGGACAAGACGAGATTCTGGGCTAAAATGACCTAACAAGACTCTTGCTGAAAGCAGGCCAGAGTGATCAAACATCACCAAGGGAATGGTGGAACATGAGGAACCTGATCATATATCAAGGGTGATTGTATATTGAGGGTATGGGATTCTGGCTAACCTGACTTAGCATGATTCTTATTAAAATTTGATAAATAAAACCACCTTTGCAAAAATTATAACAGAAAATTACGATAGTGAAGTGATCTGACCTAACTGATTCCATCTTTCTTCTAACCTCCAAGCTGTCCTAGTTCATTCCTGGGCATAGGCTGAACTAACTGTGGAAGGACCTTACTTTAATAGGTTAACTTTGAAACCAAGATGGTAACAGCCCTTTCCCAAAACAGAACCCCTTCCTACACGGGGACTAGACTGTCTTTGCAGGACTAACAAGTTAACTATAAGATTAGAAATTATGATTTAGGAGTCATGCAGCTGGAGGCTAAAAGATTCTGAACCTCCCTAAATTGCTCCTAGGGATAACATCACTATTGCAAAACCTAAGATCAGTGCTTGAGATATTTTGCAGACCCTGTCCTCAATGGATTACCTGACACCACCCAGAATGATAAAGCTATCCTCTTGCACTGAGTCAGTTCCTGGGTGAGTAAAACTGGCCCCCACCCAGGAGCTTACTTAGCTCAAGAGGACAGCTTCCACTCTCTGTGATTTTATCTCTGGCCCAAACAATCAGGACTCCCCACTTTCTGACCCCCCTACCCAGCAATTACCCTTAAAAACCCCAGTCCTTGAGTTTTCAGGGAGACTGATTTCAGTAAAAGTAAAATTCCAATCTCCTGTACAGCCAATTCTGTGTGAATCAAACTCTCTCTATTGCAATTTCTCTGTCTTGACAAGTTGGCTCTGTCTGGGCAGCAGGCAAGGAGTAGCCATTGGGCGGTTACATAAACAGAGATGAACACAGAAACCTCAAAGTCAGAGCCTAAAGTTCAGAAAAGCCTGACTAAAGTTTGGTTAATGAGAGACTCTTTGTCAATACCTATATTACCAGGGTGATCCAAAAGTTTCAATGCAAATAATGTGCTGCTTTGATGGTTTTAGAAGGCTTAAATTCTCTGGCTGGAGTTTTATGATTGGTAAAATGAAAGTGAAAAATATCTTATAGATTTGTGGAAATGATTAAATAGATACGTTACTTAAAGAAAGCTCCTGTCATCCTGGCTCAGCCAGTTACTAATAGTGTGACTTCAATCAGTCTTTGAGAATCAGTCATCACTGTAAAATCCAGACTTATCATCTATTCTGTGAAACTGTTAATAGGAATGAGATAAAATATATCATCTGTTATAGTGTTATGGAGTAATTCTTAAGTAGTGATTTTCTAATCAGCTTTATCAATTTCCAATATTAGGTAGTTTCTTTTGAATTTCATGATGGTTTTCTGAAGTTTCAAAGTGTAATGCATATAATATACACCCATTCCTTATCTCACTCTTTTACCTTTTTCTTTTACTTAGACTCCAATTTCCAATTTGCTAATAATGGCATACGTTCTTGGATCCCTATTTTTCTTAGTATATAAACTGTAACTAGGTGAATAATTTGATTGACCACAAAGTCTAAGAAGGAATTTTGTTTCAAAAAAGCATACTGAGCAAAAGTGCAGGACTTCCAAATGGACTATGTGAATGTTTTTTCTTTCTCTCCTTCTCTCTTGTCTTTCTCTCTCTCCCTCCCTCCATCCCACCTTCTCTCCTTCTCAACTTTCCTCTCTCCCTGTCTTGTCTTTTCCTTCCTTCCTTCCTTTTCTTTCCTTCCTTCCTCCATCCCTCTCTTCCTTTCTTTCTTTTTCATAAATTAACATAAGTGAATATGAAGAAGCATAGACCTCCTAGACCCTTCAAATACCCAAAACAACAGGGCATGGCCAATTGTAGCAGCAGAAAATCTATTGCCATGTATGGCAGGAGGAAGTATTAACATTGAGAAAAGGAAAAGTTAAAAAAGAAAAGTCATTTAAGTAGAGAACACAGAGAATTTTAATTTTATTTGTTTATTTGTTTTTATTTTTAGGTTTTTTTAATGTGTGAGATTGGAAGAAATCTTGTGAGTAATCATGAATTTTAGGAATCCCAGAAGGGAGCAAAGAAGATTCTGAAAAAAAGAGAAATACTTCTCTGAGTTGGAAATTGGTTAAATTTAGTGATGTTTGAGCCTCAGCTTACATTGGAAATCACTAACTACTTTTAAATTACTTTTGGTTTTGGACCCTGTTTCTTGCTCTGGGACTACACAAAAGGACTGAGCCAAGACAGGAGCAGGAATTTGGCTTGCCATTTATTTAATTTATATTTTATTGTCTGCTAAAAATTGAATGCGTAAGTTCTAGTACCTTGCCGACTCATTCTAACAAGGCTGCTATATTACTGCAATTAGAATATAAATAACCAATTTTATATGAGTCATCATTCTTGAAGTAAAATCTCAAACTCAAAAATTATTGAAGAGGCAATTTCTAGGTAAAAATTGGAATAATGTTTAAAATGTATATTTTGCAACTAGATGGTAAATGTGAAAAATAAAAATTAAGCAAGTTAATTTAATTAAGGAATTTTTTAGTTTTTTTATTTTTTAAGAAAAAAATTAAATGACCATGAGAAGTTGTAAAGAGATGAACTCTTTCATGCAAACACACAGTTTCTTAACAAGTCATGTTCTTTTTGGATGGCATGAGGAAAAAAATAACAAATTTACTCAGATTAGTTCAAGTCCACTCTACCCTTTTGCAAAGACTAACTCCACTAGAAAATTGGATATTACAATAGAAATTGTGATTACAGAATTTTGGAAATGTGAATCAGTACATCGCATTTTTTCTTATACCATGGGTCAAATAGGAAATAATAATTTTTATACAGTCCATTAGAGTATATGGGCAAAGTGGCTTCAGCCTGAGGCAACAAGGCTGCCTATAGCTAAGAGCTACCTCAGAGTTGCTCAGCTCTTTCTGAGGGCTGAAGGGAGCAATGTTTTGGCATATACTAATCCCTTCACAATAATGGTTCAGAAAGTTTTCTTAGGGTAGGTCCTAGAGGTATTTGAAGAAAATAACATGCCCAAGTTGAGGAAAATAAGATTTTGAATTATGTTAAATTTTGCTACTAGCATCATTCATCATTAAAAATTTATAGCATGGTATCTAAAGAGACACCTACAAAAATCATCCATGGACTCAAAGTCATAATGATATAATGATTTCTGATATAGTTTGGCTGTGTCCTCACCCAAATCTCTGCTTGAATTGTAGTTCCTATAATTCCCACACATCATGGGAGGGACCCAGTGGGAGGTAATTGAATCATGGGAGTGGTTACCCCCATGCTGTTCTTGTGACAGTGATTTCTCATGAGATCTGATGGTTTTATAAGGGGCTTCTCCCCCTTTGTTCGACACTCATTCTCTCTCTCCTGCCACCCTGTGAAGAGATGCCTTCTGCCATGATTATAAGTTTCCTGAGGCCCCTCCACCCATGTGGAGCTGTGAGTCAATTAAACCTCTTTTCTTTATAAGCTACCCAGTCTCAGGTATGTCCTTATATCAGTGTGAGAACGGACTAATATAATTTCCATTTTTATGAGGACTTTTTTCCTTGTCTCCCATTTATGTTTTTACTTTGTAGTTGTTCAGGAAAAGAAAAGAAAAGTTGTTTTTCTGTCCAGTTCAGATCAAGAAAATTTTATGGCAATATTTTTAGAGGGTGAGAAAGAGGAAAGCTTGATGAATGAGAAACAGGTTAAGTCCATGCAGAACTTCTGTAGCAAGATTTGCTATACAATCATGTATTTTTTTAAAGAGAAGGATAACATTGGAGGGAAATGTGAAGGATAACATTGGAGGGAAATGTGAATTACAGTTATTTGTGAACTTATCTGAATAAAGACAGAATATCAGGCAATGAAGATTATGAATGATTAATTTCACATCTACATCATTGGGCCAGGTTTCAGAGCAAGATAGAAGAGGAGTACATCTCAAATGCTTTTGAAGTTACATTTCCAAAGTGAGGTCCCAGCTGGAAGTATAAATGGTTCTCCAATTTTGCAGATGGAATTTTATCCAATATTCAGATGTATAATCTGCTTCAAGTATGTACACAGGGGAAGTAATAAGAGTACTGTGAATTCTCAACTGACCATTTTCTGACACATTAAAGAAATAGCAAAGGTAGGGCAAATTCGATAATCTACCTGAACTTCCCAGAAATTGGGGAATGTAAGATAATCTCATGGAAGTGATCACTAATTAAAAAATGACTGTTCTAGGATACCATCTTGTTTTATTTTTTCAGTTGCTTTATTCAATGGCTGTCAAGTGAGAAGGGATTAAACTCTCACTGACATGTCTCCTTTCTCCCTTTCCCAAGTTTACAAGAGCGTTATCTGATAGATACAGCAAACCTGAGCTTGATAATACTCCAAGAAATGCTTAAAGGAAATTAGCCTTATCCCAGTAGTACAAAGAAATAAACAGGAGAGGATTTGCCATGCAGTATAGAAACCCATGAGTCAGATGAGTAGAAAAAATTCCTTCTCACGAGGTTGTGTGCACAACTATCCATGAGGAACACAGGAAGACCAGGAAGTAGAGGGTCATCCTGGAGAAGCCAGGCAGTATCCTTAGGCAGGGGTGGGAATACTTGTAGACAATCCTATTAGGGACATAGCACAGCTGCAGCACGTCATAGGGGGATAAAGAAAGAGGAAAGTCAGGCAGGTTACACTAGATGCATTTTGTTGTGAGAGAATCTCTGGAGCAACCATGGACTATGGCAGACCAGGGATTGAGAAATAAGATTTTAAGAATTGAGTCTGGGTGCAGTGACTTATGCCTGTAATACCAACACTTTGGGAGGCCGAGGAGGGAGGATCATTTGAGGTCAGTGTCTCTGTTTTTAACAAAAATTAGACAGGTGTAGTGGCAGACATCTATAATCCCAACTACTCGGGAGGCTGAGGCAGGAGAATCACTTGAGCCTGGGAGGTGGAAGTTGCAGTGTGCCAAGATCGTGCCACTGCACTCCAGCCAGGGTGACAGAGCGAGACTCTGTCTCTAAATAAATAAATAAATTAGAATTGTTGCTCTGGTTTACTATTGTAGAGGAGAAAGGTAATATCTTTTTCCCCATCCATCACGAAGTTTATGGCTGCAACCTCTATGTCAAACGACAAATTAATAAGAAAACAACACACAAATTGTTTTAATATATATTTTACATAATACGGGATCCTTCAGAAAGAAAGACCCAAAGAAACATAGAAAAATGAGTATTTTTATGGACATTCATGATTGGAAGACAAAAGGGTAGGATCTAATGATAATAAATGGGTGGGAATTTAGCAAGGTCTTTTGGTCAGATTCTTATTGATGTCTCTGTGTCTTCACAGATGAGGACACTCCTTTCCTCTGGGCATAGGGAGGAATGCTCTGGAATGAGTTTTATGAGCAACTTCCAGGGGAAGGTCAGCTAGGACTTATGACACACTTCAGGGAAGAAGGGGTCTCAGAGAGATCTTCCTGCCTCTGCTATTTTCTCAGATGCCAAGGTGGTGTATTTTGGCAGCACTTGTCTTGAACCTCATTACTTGAACCTCTTTAAAGGCTCTTAAAGATCTAAATAATAAGTGCCTTATTATTATTTTTGTTTACTGTAATGTGTATTTTTTAAATGATTCCATGAGGGACCAGGTCCAGTGCAGTTCTAGTGTTTTCAAGTTATACAAACACCCCTTCTAAAGATATTCAAATACTGACCATTACTCAGTCAGCAAGGAAGGGCCATTCAGAGGTTTGATAAAAATTTCTTCTAAACAAAACCACAACCAGAAATGTTATCTAGGTAATCTCCAAACCAAATCAAATTAAATTAATGTTAGTGCTCAATAATTGTTAAACTTAGAAAACAAGATATATGCCTTTATAAATCCTTACATTAGATATGGTCTATTCCTATACTTCAATGTGTAAATGTAAAAACTCAGATATAAAGAAGTAAATTATTTTTACATATTTAATGGTCAATGTCTTGACATAGTCATAAATCAGAGTCTTTATGGAAGTCTTTTTACTTTTAGCAAAATTTTTAAATAAAACTTCTCTACTTCTCTCCTATAGCTATTTTTCCTGTTAGCCTTTCATTTTTCTAGAAAGCTAAACATTCTGATTCTTCTTTCTAGGATTAATGAACCTTCAAAAAGTTTGTTTGTACTGTTTACATTTCAATTTATCAACAAAACTTTAAGCAAGTTTAAAACATAATCAAATATGTCCTTTCATTTTCAGCACTTATCTCTGAAGTCTCACTTTTTAAATATGTTACAATGAATTGTGATCCTGTTTTATGTATCTGACTGACAGCACTGGGAATTAAGTTCCTCAGCCAATGAAATAATAAACCCAATGCCACGATAAAACCTACGGTAGAGACTGATAAGGACTCCAGATCCAGGCTGCTAATACTCTTCAAAGTCATTCAGCTGTGGCTACTACATGATGTCTGAGTGTTTCCACAAGGTATAAATCATATGGTAGCATATCGAAGTTATCCAGTTTAGCCATAATTAAAATTTCTTCTTGCTGGCAGTAGAGGAATTCCCAAGAGCAAGGTATGCGTATACCCCTAGATAACTTTTAATCTTATTGGGCAATATTTTAGACAGACAAATAGAATATGTTTTAAAAAGTTCTAAAAGTTAATGTTCTGATTAAATTTAGAGTAAATCAAGATAGACTTCATGATGAAATCACCATCTGCTTTGTAAATTGCTGTGTAACCTGGTTCATATGCAACTCTCTAGACTCTTCCATATTTCCACTCTGTGTTTGACATTTCAAAAATGCTAGACTCCATGTTGCTCCAAGAACTCAGTATACTATTTTACACCTTCTTGGCCCTGCTCTTCCTATTCCCTCACCTGGACAGTTCTAGAACTTGTAGAGGTTTAAAATAATCACTCATGTTTAGTTTTATTTTCTTCTGGACACAGAGGAAGATTTGATGTTGCTACATTCTAATATGGTGGGATGGGGCCATGCAACTAGTTCTGGTCAATGGGTCATGGTTCAATTCTGGACATTTAAGTGACAAGAGGGGGTTATACATCTCTGCGTAACATGTTTAGTTCTATTCAGTGCATTATGAACAGAAATGACATAATCGAGTAGCGATGAAATGGCATTTTTAATTGACAACCCCATACATCCAGCTTTCTTGAGAATGTGTATGTTAAAATGGAGGTTCAACAAGATCAATGAAGCCTGGAATCTGAACAACCACATGATATACCACTGCTCTGGAGAATTTACCAGACCCATGGCAGATGTTGTGTAAGCAAGAAATAAACATCTTTTTATGCCATTAAGATGCGGGAGTAGTTTTTTTGTTGCAGAATAGTAAATCCTTTCCTTTGTTTTATGCACCTCAAAAGGTTTCAAAAATTATCTCTGTCGTTCCCCGTCAGAGGCAGAGTTAGGAACCTGTCCTATGATCTCTTTAGAATGCATTCCTCCTTTTAAATGCTAACATTTGTACTTTTGGCCTGGGGATATACGGCAACATCTTTTCATTCTACAAGATCTATCTGTGGACCTATCCCAGCTCAATGATTGGAACAAATTATCCACACCAAACTTAATCAATGTAACATATCCCCAGTGATTAATTCAAATCTGGGTACCTGACTAAATAATTCTAAACACATGAATCTGAAGACTCTAATTATTCTGAGATTAAAATACTTTCATTTTATTGAATGATTTGAAGCTGAAAGGAAATAGCTCTAGAAATACCGGAAGCCAATCCATTTTAAAATCAGAGGCAACATAGGTAACCTCAAACCACATTACAAAGAGAATTATATGCCCTAGTATATCACATGACCTTCTCACACAACATGCCTAAAACTAAACTCACTCTTAAAATTTTCTGTAATTAATAAATTTCCCTTAGGTCAATTTAGGCTTAGTTTTCCTACCATTTTTCTGCTATTACAGGATTTAAGATGTCATTTATTATATATTTGGATACGTGTATCACTCTCTGAACTGCATTTCTTGAAGCCAGAGTCTCTGTCTCATTTGTTTTGTATAGCTTTGTTTCTTTGAGTACTGATTTTGTAGCTAATTCCTGGCTTGCAGTCAATGTTAAATTAATGCTTATCTAATTTAACTGAACCAAATAGGGGATAGAAAATGTTTTGGAAATATTAGGAGATATTGGGCTCTAGTTGACTCAGCAGGCATTCAGAGGTTTTCTACCAAGGTCACACACACAAAAAAGGAATGTTTAAAGCAAACATCACAAATTTTCCAACATTGCTTGGGGCCATTTTGATATTCTAGCAAAAACTGGAGTCATCTCGCAATTTTTAGACGGTTTAAAAATATTAGAAAGGCCTTGCTAGAATTCTGCCACTTCATGTTGGAAGAGGCTACCTCAAGTCTTAAAAAATCATGGCTTGCCAGTAAAACATGAGAATACAGAAAAAATAACAGGAAGATACGTTAAAAGAATAGAGACAGCAACCTCAGAATTGTTTTTTTCTGAGAGGACAAGACAAAAATTTGGACATAATTTATATTTAAGAAAACGTCTTAAATACTCTTCAGTAGGAAATGCTTCAATATCTTTAATCTTCTCAGGTGTTTCTCATAGATGAAACTAATCCCCATTGGGGGCTTGGTAACACACTGTGAATGATGCTCTCTCATTACCTGTCTCCTCAGGGACAAGGCTGCTTGGAGCATGACAGAATACATCCTCCTATTCTCAACCTGAGTCAGTGTCACCTTTCTCTCTTTGACCTTTTTCAGGAACTGCGGGGCTATCATTCTTAACTGACACTAATGCTCTCAGGCACCTTACTCCCCAGGACAACACCCATTGCTCTTTGGCTGTGACTAATGCTGAGAACTTCCTTCTAACAGGAAAAAATACTGTAAAAGAAAATGCTGACAATTACTGTAGTAGAATAAATAATGATGATATAATGCCATCAATATACTTCTGCTCAACGGCATTCTTCCAATTTTCTCTCAGTGCTTTCTCCTTTTTCCTTTAAATAATCATTGCATTTTGTCCTCAAGTTGTCTTATTTGAAACTTTTATGTCTTCCGCAAAACATAGGACTTATTTCCTGAGCTTTCATTGGCCATTTGATAAACTCTATTACAACCAGGCATTTGCTAATTTATTAAACCATTTCTGAAAGTATGGTCCATGGACCATGAGCATCAGAGTTACCCGTACCACCTGTTTCACAATGCAAATACAAGTGCCTCACAAAAACCACTGACTTTCTGGGAATCTCTTTCTTAACCAGTAATCCAGATGATTCTTTTAGGTATCAAAAAAGGCTGAGAACTACTGATTTATTGTCTCTTTTGTATCAGGCACTGTTTTGGACATTGGGAACATCGAAGTAGAGTGAGCATCATCATGAATGGAAACACTTTCTCTGAAAAAAGACATAAAACAATTGAAAGTCAGCAGTGTCTTTCTTGCAAAATATTATGAAGATCAGGACAATTAGAATTAGGTATACTCCAATTCCATTTTAGAATTTGCAATAGAGAAGGTATTAAAATGTTTTATTTTATTACTTAGAATTGAAATCTATGTTTTAGGATCTTAGCCTACTGATTACTTTTAAGTAGCTTGTTTAGATTTTATGTTGTTATGTCAAGATCATTTGCTATCATTAGTACTTTATAAACATTTGAGTTAATTTTTACTTAGAACTTTTAAAATAAAGATAAAAGATGGATTCATTTCCCTAGCTTTCTCACACAATCATGCAAACCTTTCTTGCAATAAGTGTCTAAATTGTGTAATCGACATGAAAAGATCTGGAATTAGTAATTCCAGTGAGTATTTAGACGTAGTTCTTGCTCCCACTTAAGTTTTAAAGACATGTTAAAACCATATGAAATAACTGAAGAATTCACTCATACAAAAAAAAGTTTATACATAAAACTTCAGAGGTTTCACAATCAGTTTTTAAGTATGAGAAGTATAAAGTACAGTAGAACTGAATCATAAGGTATTTGTGGAAAAAATGGGGGGCAAAACAAGAGCATTCCGAGTGGATGGATTGATAAGAACAAATAAATTATTTACCAACAGGGAAAAAAACGAGATTGACAGGTATTATTCTATTTTGTAAAGTCAGATTCATAACGACCTGTGAAATGGCAGGCTGAGCAACTGGGTTGATATTTACAACAAGTAGTGAACTTTTCTGTGGAGCATTAAAGGCAAAACAAAACCAACTATAAATTATAAAATGATAGAGGCTAGTCAAGGTATCTGGCTTAAAGGTGAATTCTCCAGATAAAGAATGAAATTCCCAAATTCATATCGGCAGCACAGTTTGTAATGCCATCAGTTCAAAAAGGTCACCTAAAATCAGATTTTACAATTCTCAAAAGAGTAGAAATTTAGAGAGTGGCTTAAAACATGTAGACATATTTCCTAATTACTCTAAATATTTATCATAATTCTGAGTATAATGTTGTTAAACTCATAATATGTTACCTTGGAGAAGTTCCAAACTGTGTTTTGCCATACTGAAAACAAAAAACAAAAATCTTGTAACTTTCTACTGTTGGAATTTAGTAATTGTGAATACATCTGTCTAGTACCATCCCAAACTCATAAGACACTCAGATCCATTTAAGTTGCCTTGCCCAAAATAACTATGTAATTTTTATACCTAGTCATAAATGTATAATTTTTTTTACTTACTATTTTTAATAACATCATTCCTTAACCTACTCCTATGCTCCACAGAGATCACCTTTATAAACAGGGACATATAGTTTGGTGATGGAGACTTAGGTCTTTAACTTCAGGAGTGGCTTAAGTCTTGCATTTATTACTTACTAGCTATGCGCCTTGAAGTCACTTGACTATTCTATAAATTAGTTCATCCGTGAAATGCAAAAAGTAGTCCGTATAGGGTATTTTGAAAATTAAATTATCAACTGAAAAGTATTTTTCATATAGGACACCCTCAATAAAAGTATAAATATTGGCCGGGTGCAGTGGCTCACACCTGCAATCCCAGCACTTTGGGAGGCTGAGGCGGGTGGATCACGAGGTCAGGAGATCATCCTGGCTAACACGATGAAACCCTGTCTCTAATAAAAATTCAAAGTAATTAGCTGGGCGTGGTGGCAGGCGCCTGTCGTCCCAGCTACTTGGGAGGCTGAGGCAGGAGAATGGAGCGAACCTGGGAGGAGGAGCTTGCAGTGAGCCGAGTTCGCGCCACTGCACTCCAGCCTGGGCGACAGAGCGAGACTCCGTCTCAGAAAAAAAAGGTATAAATATTATTATTTATTAGAAGCAAATGTAATTAGCCTGGTAGTTTTCAGAAAAACAATAATTTATATATACAGACTCTGATAAAAGTTTTTATTTTCATTAGTTTCATTCAAATAATTAAATCTGTCCCAGGAATAGCTTACAGATATTGTCAGATGCATTTGATATCTGAATTCAAATACTGGCCTGAATTTCTCTGAATACTGATTGATTTCAGTTTGTAATGTTCTTTGCGGTTTGACATGTATTAACTCTGAAAGGCTCTGGTGGAGGATCCGCAATTATGTTTTCAGTTTCTCCTTTTATTATGTAGCTTAAATAGCTATTGACTATGTTCTTTCAAGTACTGCTTTTGTTGCTAATAAAAGACTCTACAGAACTTTTCAGTTCATTCAACTTCTTCATATACTATTTCAGGTACTAGGAAAAGCTAGAGATTTTACTTCTCCTGAGGAGATGTGCAAGAAAGAACTGCACACTGATATATTGTGGAAAATAAAAGTTGCAACAATACAACTTAAAACAAATTGGCCGCCATGCCTGACTTTTGTAGCTGTGTAATCATAAAGAAGTAATTTATGCCCCTAGTCTTAGTTTTCTTATGTAGCTTATGGAGGTCGTAATATTTGCTCTACTTATTTCATAGAGATTTTCATAAGGAACAGATAAGACCATGCACATTTAAAATTGAATAGCTGAAATCAAATGTAAATTGGCCTTATTATAACTAATATGTTTATCATTTATCCTGGCATCTTTTAATTTCTTAGCTCATGTTATACTTGTTAAATCAACCCTATAAGGTTTTTAAAATTATATCTATTTCTTGATGAAAAAGAAAAGATTGAAGAAATTAAGCCACTTGATAATACGTATTAGAGCACAATTTCAGACCTAGGTTTGTCTAACTTTGAGGTTTGAGCAATTTTCTTCAAAACTACCTCTAAACAATAGCTATTATAAGGAAAATATACTTGATTTTCATGAAGTAAAAAAACAAAATTCAGCAATTCTGTTGAAAATTTTAATTACATTATGTAACATTAGTTTTGATGGTTAGGTTTAAAAATATAGTTCTTTTAATAAGAAATATATTGCAATATTTTTATATATTATCCTAACAACCTTGTTAGGGAGACATCATGAAGTCAGACTGTGTGATTTCACAACCTAGTTTAGTTCCTACCTGCAAGACATTTTTAGGCTAATTATTCTCATCTTAAAATAGGTGCTTTGGGAATGGAATTAAATGAGCTGATTCATGTAAAGGGATTTAACTGGGTGCCGGACCTGTCATAAACTCTTAACGTAAGTTCGCTAACATTTTAATATGTATAGTAATGTTCTATTGAATTGAGAAAAATATTTTACTTAAGAAAAACAATGAAAAAGGCAGTGGTAGATACGTGTTTACCATTTTACTAGTTTTCTTTGGCATCCAGAAAGACTGCATTTTCAATCTTCCTTCTCAGTGTTTGAGGACAATGTAACTGTGTCCTCACCAATGAATAGGAGGTAGAAGTAACCTAAGCCACCTTCGGACCTGAAGGTTTAAAACTTCTGCATGATTTCCTGCATTTTTAAGGCAGTCAATATAAAAGCATGGAAGGATTTCTACTTGATCATGCCACCTTACTCCTACAATCTGTTGTTTTGTCATCTCTAAAAATATGGATTTTTATAAAAATAATAAACTGTAATTATCCACAGAAAATTTAATACAAATTCTTGGGTATCAAATAATACTACATTATTCACATAAATACATAAAAGTGTTTTCCAAATTGCAAGAATTACTTTTACAAAATTTACCGGATTTTTGATCCAATAACAAAATCCATTTAATATAAAGTTATGTTTTGTAACTCTTGTTAAATTTCAAACACATTCTTTATGCCACTGAGAATGGCAGAAATAGGTCAGAATCTCATTGTCAGTGTTTTGCCGTTTGAATATGGCAATGTTTGCTTCATTGTGCTTTTAGTTAACTTGTTCTTCTATGCTTAATATTCCCTGTGAATGAAAGTTATTTAAAAAGACTGATTAGATCTAGACTCTGATTTTGACTAGACTACTTTAGTTGTTTCTATGCGTTTCATATGCATTCCATCAGGAGACCCCCAATATGTAGGGGCATTGATTTAGATCAGATGGTGACAGCCTCGTTCCTTCTGTTGTTGGTTTCATCCACTGATGATTGTTGACTAATCTGTACATTTTATAATGCACAATAGGAATGTTCTAATTTTAATCATCCTTTCCACATTTAAAAACTGGAATTCTATCTTTCATCAATTGAAAAACAGTTAGATATAGGACAAATTCATTTAATTATTTTCCAAATTTATCTTTGCAATGTATTATATATTTAATTATTTATATAT
Source organism: Homo sapiens (assembly GCF_000001405.40). Classification (NCBI taxonomy): domain Eukaryota; kingdom Metazoa; phylum Chordata; class Mammalia; order Primates; family Hominidae; genus Homo; species Homo sapiens. Next base: position 38,685,774 of record NC_000011.10, read on the forward strand.
TGTAATATATATATGATATTGTTAAGTAAAAATGAAGATGAGATGATATTGTTAGTAAAATAGTCCATGTACAGTTGACATTTTAAAAGGTAACATGAAACTAAAATTAGCTTTATTTTAGAGAGTTAGATTTTGGTAAAACAGGGATTTTTTAAATTCAAAATTGTTATTAAGGAGACATTTTATTCTTTAAAATAAAAAAAACTGATTGTAAATTATCAGTGACTGAAACCTACATCTCTTAAGAAATGTATTAATATAAATTTCTCTACATTTTTGACACAGGTGAACAGGAGAGTTACTGTAAAAACTGAGACAACAAAACAGCCGGAGGCATGAAAAGAAAAAGAATCCCGCATGAATAGCTTGCTATATGTAATTTGGTTAGGAACAATTCACAGGTTTTGACAGCTTTATTAGAGTTCCATTTTAGTAAGATTCAGGTGAAAGTGAGGTCATCACTTTAAAACAAAAATCCTGAGAACATACCCAGATGGACTCACATAAATGATGTATACTAATGTCGTCAAGTAAATATTTTAAAGAGTTAATTGCTTTCTTTATTAAAAACTGGATTTAAATACTCCATTATTTCATAAGAATAAAACAACTACAACACCGCCACAACATAAAAAGTGTTTACCTTAATGTATTATGAACACCAGCAGTGAGTTCCAGTAATATCTTGCACTTCTGAAGATGTGTAAGTATACTAAGGAACATGCTTAACTTAGAACTCACTAATGGAAGTTACAGAGATTTATTCAGATCCATGTTAGCATGCTTGATACCCTTAAGCACACTAACAATATACAGCATCTGCTTTCAGGGATGTTTTTACCTCTTGTACTAGTTTCAGAAAGCCCATGTCTGAATAATTCCTAAGTAATGGTTTTTTAGCTTACTCTATAATTTTGATTTTGAGCCTGACTAAATAAAACCTTTTTAAATAGACAGTGGTTTTATTATTATTCTTATTTTACTGATGCAAACAATCAAGGTATGTGCAGTAAGATGTCTTACCAAATGTCACCCATTTAGTATGAGGCTAAGCTGGATTTCAAATGCTAAATTTATTCCTCTTACCATCTTCTGCCTCCCATAATGAAGACTAATTATCTTTGTGTTGCAAATGTAGATTTATAAGTGCCAATTAATAGAAATTAAATCCTGGTCAAAATCCCACTAGAGAATAGACTTTCCTGCGTTTATCAATTCAGCTTCATTCTCTCTCACTAAAGACTGACTGGTTTAAAGGTTAAAGCCCGTCAGCCCCTGAAACTAAGTGATAACCAATCCGTAGATCAGTGTCAGCTTTATTATTATTCTTCACCAGACACCCCTAATCATTTTCTGTGTCTGACATTTGAATCCCTGCACAAAAACAATTTGCACAACTTTAATCCCCCCTCCCATTTAATCCATCACATACTGTGACACCTGATAGTCCCACTGTGAGCAGCCTGTGAAATATGTCAGCTTTATCTCTGATTTACACTGGATTCTGCTAACAATAAATGCCATTGCTGAATGTATTCTAACCTCTCTAGACTTGCAAGATTGAAGTAAGTGTCATTTTCTTTTCGTAATCAGTGCCTTTTTCTTAGATGAACACAGAGAACAGTGAGTATGGAAGTATCCAACAGTTCAGAGATGATTTTAACAATTTATGCTACCAAAATCTGTAGTTTGATGAGTACATAAGAGGTATGATAAAATATTGTTTTCCTGTTTCAACCACATGTTGGTCTTACCTAGGCTTCATCTATATCCTTTTGTTATTGGCTTTCTTTGGAAAATTAGTATCAACTTTAAACTTTTTGCTACAATAATTCACAAAAGATCCTATAGGTAGATGTTATTTCAGGAACATAAATATCCTGTTGAAGCTAAAAGTGGTGGTAATATCTGAAGACTGATAGCATTAGGATAATATAGAGTAGTGGTAGGCTTGGGAGAAAGACTTATATGGGGATTTCAGCAGCATACAGTAGTAATTTACAATATATATTATTCAATATATGTAGAACATACAAACATATGTTAATAATTTTACTCTATAACTGAGAAACAGAGAAAGCCTCAAAAAAATAAGCAACACGATGTAATGCCAATGGTAGATATTAGGGCACCCAATTAATTCTGAAACATTGGCAATTAAAAATAAAGAATTTGGAGTTTCTATAAAACAACATGTATATTAACAATATTATACATATACACATAAAGTTTATAAAGCCAAATTTGGTAAATAATTAGATGAGTCTTATGAATAAAAAGCATAAATGCTAGTATATTAATAATAAAGACAATTAGAAAATTCATTGAGATAATTGGATTGATCTATATGCACTAAAATGGAAAACTAATGTATACTAAGTAAACAACGTCATTTAATTTATATAAATAAATGCATATAATTTCAGTTTTTCATATATGCAAAATATGATTCTAAATATGTAAAAAATCATATGAATAGGAAGGCACAGAAAGAGGAGTGAAGTATAAATATAGCAAACTAATAGCGTTGCTTACATTTGGAAGGGTATATATAGAAAGCAAAATAGTCCAGAGATAGAACACAAAATGAAATTTTTGTGTTTTACTCCATAAGTGTTTTATTACCTGATTATTATACAATAACTATTTTATTTTGCAATTAAAAATAAAAATGTATTTTTCTTCCACAAATAGTTAATGTAATTTCAAAACGTGGTTATATATGACTTTATAGTTTAGAGACAAAAGCACAAGTGCATATTATTCTTAGATATCTGATATTATATTAAGAAAGATTTAATGATATATAGCATTTATAGAACTTTTATTAGGATGTCAGCTGTTCTCCAGTAATTGACATGAGAGTAGGTAATTTCTTATCACTGTCTCCCTCTCTTTTTATTTTTTATTATTTTTGAAATATTTTTCACAATTGTTATTGACTTTATTTTTCCCTTTTTAGTAATATTCTATTTATTTGCCTTTACAAACTTTAACACTTCTCTGATAGTTGTTAATCATAGTTTTTTTTGCATGTTAATAATTTTCACTCTGTATTCTAGTGGTGTGTTATTGTCTAAAACATGAATAAAATTCCTAGAATCCTTTAATTCTCTCTCCTCAATCTTCTTTCTTAACTCTGAAGAGAACTTACGATTAATTTTAAAAGTAATTTGACTTTCAAAATGGAATGTATAGATGATTTGGGAATAAGAACAAGTTCCCACTTTAAAGCACTCAAGGTAAAAAAACAAAAACAAAAACAAAAACAAACTGGTGTTAAACCAACATTAAATCTTCATGAAAAATACCCCTTTGAAAGAAAGCTACAAGTGCATCAGAGTGATGGGTTTTTGACATAAGATAATATTGCTTTTAATTTTAGTTACATTCACTGACATGTAGGTTTCTGTGACACAGAGATGGAAGCTAACTAAAAACAGAGGCTTGATAGAAAATTCCTTAATGATGATTCATCACAATCAATGATCTGAGTTGAATATTCACCAATAAAAAAAGAATACAAATGAATGTGTGATTGTTCTAAAATTAAAAACTTTTACCTTTATTGAATGTTTTAAACACCTAATAATAATAATTTTTTCTGATTTACAAAATATCAACTATTTTAACTTTTCAACCTAATAGCTTTGTGAAACAGGGAGGAAATTTCATGGTATATTTCAGAGATAAGGAAAATTAGCCTCAGAGAAATTTACTGACTGGCTAAGTAACAGAGTTAGAAAAGGTAGAAGCTATATTTCAAATTGAGACTCCATAGTGTTACATTTTATATCAAAAAGAATTAACTGATTGTATTTTTCAATCCTTAATACATTAAATTATTTGAAATAATTGGCTAAACTAGAAGATAAATATTTTAGTGTTTCACCTCATTGATTATGTAAGGGTGAAAAACAAAACGCATTCTAAAAAATATTAATAGACTTGCACTGTTGTGTTAAATATACTATGCACAAAGATATTTGTATTCACAGATAGATAAAGATTTAAGCAATGCTTTAACTGGTAAGTTAACTTAATTAAACACTTTTAAATAAAATTTGTAAGAAATGGAAGTGATTAGATGGTAATTTTATAAATATGAATTTATGTAATTTAAATATGTATGTTCTCTATTCATCAAATTTCTTATCTATATGAATAGGGTAATATTAGTGCTAACTCACTGGATTATTGGAAAGAATACATAAAATAATGCATGTAAATATACTTGAAAGATCCAATAAATATTAATTATTAACACTATTTTTCTTCTTTTACTGCTGCTTACTAGCCTAGTTGATCAAATTAAGCATTATATAAATGTTGTGTATGAGAGAACTAGTATGTAGCTAGAGCCAATAATGGATATTTGGGTTTTTTGTTTTGTTTTGTTTTGTTTTGCTTGAATGCCACTAAAGAAAATGAGATACAGGTAAGGGCAAATGACAAATAGAAATCATCATTTTGGTCTACTGTAAAAGCTATTTATTGATGAACTCATAATACCATTGTAATGGTTAATACCGAGTGTCAAGTTGATTGGATTGGAGGATGCAAAGTATTGTTCCTGGGTGTGTCTGTGAGAGTGCTGCCAAAGGAGATTAACATCTGAGTCAGTGGACTGGCAGAGGCAGACCCACCTTCAATCTAGGATGGGTACCATCGAATCAGCTGCCAGTGTGGCTAGAGTGGCAGAAGCAGGCAGAAGAAAGTGGAATGAGGAGGCTTGCTGAGTCTTCTGGTCTTCATCTTTCTCCTGTGCTGGATGCTTCTTGCCCTTGAACATCAGACTCCAAGTTCTTCAGCTTTTGGACTCTTGGACTTACATCAGTGATTTGCCAGGGGCTCTCAGGCCTCCAGCCACAGACTGAAGGCTGAACTGTTAGCTTCCCTACTTTTGAGGGTTTGGGACTCAGATTGGCTTCCTTGCTCCTCAGTTTGCAGACGGCCTATTGTTGGACTTCACCTTGTGACTGTGTGATTCAGTTCTCCTAATAAATTCCCCTTTATACATGCATATATCCTATTAGTTTTGTCCCTTCAGAGAACCCTGACTAATACAACCATGTAGAGCTTTAAACCTTTAATGCCATGCAAATTCTTTTTCCTGAGCATTTCTTTTTGACTAGAAAGTAGTTCAAAGTGAAAATAAATATTGTATCAAAGACAGAGTTCCCTAAAATGTAGTTAATCATGATGTGGCACTTTGCACATACATGAAATGCCATTCAGATGTCTAAAATTTATTTCCATTTTAGGAACATAGTTTTGAGATAGTTTAATGAATAATCATTCTCATTTTAACTTGACACATTTGTTACAACCAAAACTTAGGATTCCAACTGTAGTTGTATGTCTACATATTTATCAATTTTTCTAGGTTGTTTCTAGTTTGAAAGCATTCCACACTAACACAGAGATGTTGTTTGTGTCCAGACATTGTGTCCTAATTTGCTATATTCTGGAAATTTTGTAAGCCAAACAGAGGTGGTCAAAGAATAAATTATAATTTTTCTCTGTCATGAAGGAATCCACAGAAAACAGGCATACATACCAATTACTGTCATATAAATAATAAAGCAATGATAATGATATTTAATATTTATTGAGAATCTGTGAAGATTTAAGTTGCAAATTATATATTAATTGAAATATTCATTGTTTTAATTAAGATTTACAACTATTAATTGGTAAATATTCTTATATTAACATATATATATATATAGTTGTACAGGTTATTCTAATTGGGCTTTTAATCTTGAAAGCCTTACATAATTTAACCAAAGTAATACAGCTAGAGAATTTCAAAATCAATGTCTTTCAAAGTAGGTACATTTGACTACAATTTTCCTACTCTTTATCAGTTCCAAGCATTGTCGCTTTATTATAATATAATAATGATACTAAAGAAAAAATGTAAACTAGTTTAATATAGTTCGGAGATAGAATAGCAAAGTGCTATTGTGTAGTGGGAGAAGAAAAAAAAAAAAGCCTAGTGGAATTGAGAGAGATTTCAAAAAGTGGTAATACCAATCCTGAACCTTGAGGATGTTAAACTTAGGATTTTTTGTTTGTTTGTTTGTTTGTTTTGTTTTTTTGGCGGGAGAGGTGAGTAAGTGTAGAAGTGCCCCATACTGGAGGGAAGTGAGTTAGAAATATTTTTTGACATTAGGCACATGGAATGATATTCTCCTTGGTGTGTAAGGATATTAGATTAGTGAGACAATAAAAAGGGATTAGCAAAACTTAAAAATATATATAAGCAAAAAAAGGATAATTTGTGTTAGCATAGATCTAGCAAATCAGTTACTCTCACATCTATTTTTTTTTCTGGTTTAAATTAGTATACACATTCTACACAGCCATTTATACAGTAAGAAATTAACCATAAATTGAGGAAAATATCTTCCAAAGTGTAAAGAATTTTAATTTTTGTTTTATTTTTAATTTATTTCAGGAAGATGCACTTGCAATCTGTTTAATGGTCAGTAAAATATATTGGATAAATACCAGAAAACATAATGTTTTTTAAAGTATGGTTAAAATATTTACTAACTTATTATTATTTAAGTAGATATTTTTGTTATGTAATATTTTTAGTTCCCTGGCCTATGGAACAATATATTAATTTAAGGCCAGGCGCAGTGGCTTACACCTGTAATCTCAGCATTTTGGGAGGCTGAGGAAGGGGGATCATCTGAGGTCTGGAGTTTGAGACTAGACTGGCCAACATGGTGAAACACTGTCTCTACTAAAAATACAAAAAATTAGCCAGTTGTGGTGGTGGGCGCCTGTGATCCCAGCTACTTGGGAGGCTGAGGCAGGAGAATCACTTGAACCTGGGAGGCAGAGGTTGCAGTGAGCCAAGATCACATCACTACCCTCCAGCCTGGGCGACAGAGAGAGATTCTGTCTCAAAAAAATATATATCTATATTTGTTTATTTAATATGAAATAGATTTTTTCAGGGCTGGACAAGATGGCTGACTAGAAGCAGCCAGGTGGAATAGCTGCCACTGGGGGACCGAGAAGACTGGTGCACTCCTCTTCAGAGGAAAGACGCAGAAACTGGGCTGAAGGGAAGAAAGCTGTAAACTCTGTATAGGGCTACCTTGCACTGGGACTCATTCCTGGTCCCCTATGACCCCAGGATAACTGGTGAGTTGAAGTAGCAAGGAGCAACCCGCTCTTGCCATGAGCCTCTGGAATCCAGGCAGGAGGTGACCCCTCGACCACCACAGACAGTAGAGTTAGCAGGAAGCACTGTTTGGAGAAGTGGTAGGAGCAGCAAGCCAGCTGACGTGAGCTCAGAAGATTTGGTACAGGAACTTCTATAGCGGGGCACAGCCAGTGACATTTATCCTCCTAAGCTCGACTTCTTCCATAGGAAACTGGCCCTAGGGGAACTGTCAGACCTGAACTCTGCAAGGTGATCTTCCCCTTGACCAGATGGGGCTGTTCTGACCTGAGTACTGCTTGGTCTGCTGGCTTCTCACAGGGTTCCAGCCTGGCTGCACCTGCTTGCAGGGTAGCCTCAGCTGCCCTTGGGGCCCGCATCATAGTTCCAGTACTGGTGGACTGTGCATGACTGGTGGAGAGCTCCAGTAGGCTGAACCCCCTGGCCATGCACCAGCCCACTAGCTCCCTCCTGTTACTGCAACTTCCCCAGGGACAATGGCCACTCCAGATATCACTTTGCTGGTTTGTGGGCCAGGCAGGTTTTGCCTTCCTTGCACAGCCAATGCATGTGTATATGTTCACCATGCCCAGTCACTGCTGAAGGGGGAGCCACTCTGCCCTCTCTTGGCCTGCCATACTGCCATTGCAGTCAGAACCTTGGCAAACACAGAGCCAGCCAGCCCCACCCCCACCAGTGCTGGCCTCTGCACCAAAACTGCCATGGGAGTAAAACTAGGGCAGAAAATGCTGGACCCTCCCCTGCGCTAAGTGACCACCTGTACAGGCAAAAACAGAACTACCATTTGACTCAGTAATCCCATTACTGGGTATATACCCAAAGGGATGAAAATTGTTCAATTATAAAGACACAGGCACTCATATGTTCATTGCAGCACTATTCAAAATAGCAAAGACATGGATTCAAATTAAATGCCCAACCGTGGTAGACTGGATAAAGAAAATATACCCCATGGAATACTATGCAGCCATAAAAAAGAATGAAATTATGTCCTCTGCAGGAACAAGGATGAAGCTGGAGGCCATTGCCCTTAGCAAACTAACACAGGAACAGAAAACCAAACACCACGTGTTATCACTTATAAGTGGGAGCTAAATCATGAGAATACATGAACACAAAGTGGGGAATATTTTACACTGGAGCCTATCAAAGGGTGGAGGATGAGAGGATAGTTAGGAGAAGAAAAAACTAATGGGTACTTGGATTACTGCCTGGGTGATGAAATAATGTGTACAACAAACCCCATGACATAGTTTACTTGTACAACAAACCTGCACATGTACAACTGAACTTAAAACAAAAGTTTTTTTTTTTTAAGATGTAGCTTTATTCACAGGGCACTATTTAGTTATGTATTAATTCATATGCCAAATATATAGAGAACATTTTCTAGACTTCAGGCACCGATCTAGGTACTAGGGATAGAGCATTGTAAATGTCAGGGAAGACAGTTCCAATATGCAACTAAAATTCTCTTAGGGGAAATCAAAAAAGAGTGAAACAATAAACACATAGCAGAATTCAGGTTGTGATTAGATTGCAATATGAATAAAATAAATAAAGTGACACTGTAAAGATATATTTTTGGAGGCCAGTGACTAGCAGAAATGGGAATAAAAGGCATATATAATACAATTTTAGTATAATTTAGAAGTAGACCCATAAGAATTCAGTGACTAATAAAATATGAGGGTTGAAAGAATAAGAGCGTTTATGTGTATCTCTCAGTATATGTATGGGCTTTGCTTGAAAGGGAAGATACTGCAGCTTTACTGTTTAAAGAGGTGAGAAAGACAATGAGAGGAAATTGAGCAGTGAGTAGAAATTGAGAATTCTTTGAATTTCAGATGTCCAGTACACATCCAAGTTGAGATTTTGAGTAAAGCTATATAAGACTGAAACTGAAGGGACATACCAAGACTAAATGGTAAGTATGGAGTTTATATTCAGATAAATGGCATTTAAAGAGATTTCTTCAGATGAGATGAACTAAAAGAAGTATAGCTAAGCCCTGTGTGGAGACACAGACTTAGAAGCTGCTAAAACAAACACTTTTATTTACCTCTGATATATAAAGAATTTATCTAAGTATGCTCCTGGATTCTCTCCATCCTTTGATCATTGCTTCTCAGAGAAATGTGAAATGATACATCAGAATTATGAATTTGGAAAGATTGGACATATTCAATTCAACTCCAGCACCTATATTCTCTTGAGAGTTTGGCTATCAACACAGAAAATGATTTTTTCCTGCTTCTTCATTTTAAAATCATTTTCTGGACAAGACTCCCCGTCACTGGCAAATTTGTCAAATTCTGTTGATAAATATTGACAACTCCATTCATTTAACAAACTAAATTTATGCTGCCAAATTAGACTCTATTGGCAGTCAACATTATATAGTGGCCTCTATGCTTACTTTCTATTGTATTTCAATTTCACTACGTGTTCAGATCCACTTGGAGAAGAGGTGGCCTATTTATTGATGGACATCTGTATTAGTTCGTTTTCACGCTGCTGATAAAGACACACCCGAAACTAGGAACAAAAAGAGGTTGAATTGGACTTATAGTTCCACATGTCTGGGGAGGCCTCAGAATTGTGGTGGGAGGTGAAAGCCACTTCTTACATGACAGTGGCAAGAGAAAAATGAGGAAGAAGCAAAAGCAGAAATCCCTGATAAACCCATCAGATCTCGTGAGATTTATTCACTATCATGAGAATAGCACTGGAAAGATCGGCCCCCAAGATTCAGTTACCTCCCCCAGGGTCCTTCCTAAACTACGTGGGAATTCTGGGAGATACAATTCAAGTTGAGATTTGGATGGGGACACAGCCAAACCATGTTATTCCACCTCTGGCCCCTCCAAATCTCATGTCCTCACATTTCAAAACCAATCATGCTTTCCCAACAATCCCCAAAGTCTTAACTCATTTCAGCATTAACTTCGAAGTCCACAGTCCAAAGTCTCATCTGAGACAAGGCAAGTCCCTTCTACCTATGAACCTGTAAAATCAAAAACAAGCTAGTTACTTCCTAGATATAGTGGGGGGTACAGGTATTGGGTAAATACAGCCATTCCAAATGGGATAAATTGGCCAAAACAAGGGGATTACAGGCCCCACGCAAGTCTGAAATAGAGCAGGGCAGTCAAATGTTAAAGCTCCAAAATGATCTCCTTTGACTCCAGGTCTCATATCCAGGTTACACTGATGCAAGAGGTGGGTTCCCATGGTGTTCAGCATCTCCGTATCTGTGGCTTTGCAGGGTACAGACTCCCTCCTGGCTGCTTTCATGGGCTGGTGTTGAGTGTCTGCAGCTTTTCCAGGCTCACAGTGCAAGCTGTCGGTGGATCTACAATTCTGGGGTCTGAAAGACAGTGGCT